>NC_000009.12:60738432-60779521 GCF_000001405.40 Homo sapiens
AACCATGCTATATATCCCACTAATAAGTTCTCCTTATGGAGCTAAAGTCTTTCACTGGAGCTGTTTCCAGTGTAACTTGATGTAGCATTTGGGATAGTCTCATCGTGGAGCACTACCACTATCCCAGTGGGCCGATACCTGTTTCTTCTAAGAGGACAATCAGGTAAGTTTTCCCAAAGCGCCTTTGGGAAATCGTGCCGTTCAGAGAGCTGCGTTGTGCTCATGCATCTGGAAGGTCTTGCTGTTCATGCACTGACTCTTCTAACTCCATGTCCTCCATTCCTGGGTGTTGGCCAGCAGGTTGGAATGATGGCTCACTGAAAACTGAAGATGACATGGAAGATGAAAAGGGAGATGAGAAAGTCCTGCCCATTAATGAGAGGAAGATGGGCACAATGCGGTGACCTCAAAGGTCTCCATGCCTCAGCTCAGCTCTGATGAAGAGGCTCATGTCATACAGTCTCTTCAGATGATCACAGAGAAAAACGTGGTGACAGAGAGGCAGATGTTTTACTGTTTCCACTTCTGGAACTTGTTGCAGGGTATGAAGAAGGTCAGCACCAGAGAAGATATAGAATATCATGTCTGCAATGGATGAAGCCATCAAAGGATGGCTTCACTTCACCACCAGGCAGCACTGACCAACTTACGGCAATAAATCCCGAAGACCAGAATTACACCCATCAAATGCCTCACTCACCATATGTCAGCCCAGAAGACTCTTGCAGTGGTGAGCCAGTCTCTTTATCCACCAAGCCTGACCCAGCAGGCAGGAGAGGCCCAGTACCAAGATGATCATCCACAATAACCTGCACACTGCATCGAGGACGGAGGCCAGCCCTAACAGCCTGCGGCCCTCAGGAGGGAGAGGTAGTAAAGGGCTCCTTCTCTCTTTGTCCTGATGAATGGGCATTGCACTAGAAAGATGAACATTAGGAGCAGATTATCAGAGCCTCCGTCCAGCCACCATCTCCTCTATGATGACCCAGATGGGCAAACCTTCTGAAGGCAAAGGTCCAACCAACATCCTGGGTGGCTGGCATTTTCTGAATTTCTATAGCTCATCACAAAGTGCAGCAGGAATGGGAGTATTTGGTGCACTTTGACTTTGCAGTTGCCTCTGATGGCCAAGAGACTTAGGGCCAAAGATTTCTCCCGACCCAAGGTCCAGGTCATATTTCTGCAGCACAGCTGTGACCCTCATCCCAACTACAGCCACTGGCACAATATCCAGTAATATTTGCAAATGATTATACTAACATCAGGTTATAAAAGCTTGTTGTTTTTAATTTGAGTTATATTTTTAAAATACAAAATGTCTTGTTTTTTATGTTTGTGTTCATGTGGTACATTTTCCAGGATAAGATGGGCTGTGCGGTAATGGCAAATAAACCCTCCAAGTCTCAGTGGCTGGCCTCCTCTAAGTTTATTTCTTGCTCACAGGGTCTGCCGTGAGACCAGAGACTCTACAGAGCAACTCCCCTTCCACCCCTGCCCAGGAAATAGAACATGTGCGTAACTGAGAGACAAATCATGTAGAAAAACAAGGTGATTTTCCTAGAGAAGGACTGAAGTGCTTTGCTAGTATTAGTCACTATGATAAAAAGTAGAGAAGAACTATTCTGTTTCTTTAATCATCTAAGAGACAGACCATTCACTTGGAGTGAAATATTTAAACTATTTCTTCATCTCTTGAATTAAAAGACCTTAATAATATGAATTCATAACTGGAATATAGATAATAAACCCAGCACAGTATGGCACAACAATTTTTATTTCCTCTTGAAATACCAAGGCTATTTTCTCATGTAAATTATATACGTATCTATATACATATTTTCAAGGACTGAAATTAATTTTAACATCTTTAAAACACCAAATAGTATCATATTTCCTGTAAAATGGCTGGTTACCTCAAAGGCAGCATTTTAACATCCTTAGCTGCTTTAAAAGATTATCAGCAGTCTATAGTAAATATTACATGAGACATTTAAAGAATGGTGCTTCATTTCATCATTTAAAAATCTTAGTCAAGAAGAGACAAGAACAATTTCTTAGAATCAAAGCTCCTTCATTGGGAAATCATTCATCTTGGGAAAAGCAGAAATATTTTGGCTAATAAAAAACATTTTATTACTAAATTAACATTGAAGAAGTTGTAAAAATCTCATTTTGCTTTAATTTGTTAAAGTCAAAGCCTTATATGCACCTTTGATTTTTATAAAATTTTAACTATTTGAAAATAAAGTATTAAGCATCAAAAGTAAATAGAAAAAATTAAAAATAAAATGAAAACCAATGAAATGGAACACAGACCAATAATAAAATCTGTGCTGCCAAAAGCTGATGCTTTGAAAAGATTATTAAAAACTGCAAAACACCTAGCAAAAGGAAAACATCACCAATATCAAGAATATAAAATGGGACATTATTATAGACCCTAGAGATACTACAAGAATTATAATAATATGTATGCTGAACAACTTTAAGGCAAGAAATTTGACAATTTAAATGAAAAGCATGAATTTCAATTTCTTATGGTATAGTTACTTGTAACTCTGGAGAGCCCACATAATTCATCTAGTAGCCATCTTCTAGCTTTGTGGGTTCTCTGTAAAAAAGAAACTGGAAGAGTCACAGTAAACGAACTACATATACTTTCCACCCTTACATGAGTAGAGAATAATCTGCTAGAGCAAATGGGCTGGGTGTGGTGGCTCACACCTATATTCCCAGCACTTTGGGAGTCTGAGGCGCGTGGATCACCTGAGGTCAGGAGTTCGAGATCAGCCTGTTCAATATGGTGAACCCCCATCTCTACGAAAAATACAAAAATTAGCCTGGCATGGTGGCAGGCACCTGTAATCCCAGCTACTCGGGAGGCTGAGGCAGGAGAATTGCTTGAACCCAGGAGGCAGAAGTTGCAGTGAGCCGAGGTGGACCCATTGCAATCCAGCCTGGAAAACAAGAGGGAAACTGTTTCAAAAGAAAGAAAAAAAGAAAAGAAAAGAGAAAAGAAAACAAAAAGAATCTCCAAATGCTCAAATAAACTCTATATAATTTAAATGTGTTTTAATTTTTCTCTTAGTCTTAGGAAATTGATATTTTAAGAGAAAACAACTAGTCAGTGATTGTTTCCAGGAGAACTCCATTTTGTGGAAGCTCCCCTGAGACTTAACTAAACCCTTTAGGGGAGCTCCTGGGAGAGCCTGAGCTTCTCCTGATTCAGGTCCCCTTTGTGTGTTCACTAAGAGTCTTCTCTTTGTCGAGATTTGTAACAAGGTTGTTGAAAATGGAAGAGTATTTTCAGCCGTGAGCTTACTTTGCAACATTCAGCTTTCTTTAGAGTTTCAGGAAGTTCGTAATTGTCTTATAATGAACAAGAACTTTCCTATAAGAAGAACTACAAAGCATGCCATTCAGAAAATAGGTAATAGACATTAATCCCAGGAATACTAAATATTTTAGGAAGTCTCTAGGTTCAGAAAAACCCAGGAGCCCTGTGGACTGAATGCCAACCTCCCCTCCCTCCCCACTGCCCCCCCGACCCCCAACCCCTCTCACCTCCGCAGTGAGCTCCCTGCTTTCAGGCTCAACCTTCTAAAGTTCTCTTTCCTGGCTGGATGAGTCTCCCAAGAAGCCCCTTCCATCTCTCTACTGCTCAGAGCTCTCCAGAACTCACACTGTGAGATCTCCAGAACTCACATTGTGATTTAAATCCAGGGTTTACTTACTAGTCTTTACTTACTAGTCAAAGCCCCACATGCTTGCCCTGAAATCCCTCTAGTTATTTAGTGTTAGAAACTCACCACTAGGACCATTATTTTGCTATTAGATCTATTTTTGGGGGAAATGCCTAATGTCAGGATTTTTTTTTTTTGAAACAGAGTCTCGCTCAGTCACCAGGCTGGAGTGCAGTGGCGCCATCTCGGCTCACTGCAACCTTCACCTCCCGGGTTCAAGTGATTCTCCTGCCTCAGCCTCCCGAGTAGCTAGGACTACAGGCACGTGCCACTATGCCCAACTAATTATTGTATTTTTAGTAGAGACGGGGTTTCACCATGTTGGCCAGGATGGTCTCGATTTCTTGACCTCGTGATCCGCCCGCTTCAGCCTCCCAAAGTGCTGGGATTATAGGCGTGAGCCCCTGTGCCAGACCAATGTCAGGATTTTTTGGCTTATCTTTACTGACCTGGTCTAATCCCCACAGATGAATATTTATTGATTTATTTATTTCTCTTTTTGGAGGAAGGAAGCCCTGTTGTCAGCATCCTAAAAGCTAGAAATGAGAAAAGCTGCGAATCTCAATTTTCAGTGTGTGCTTTGTTTTCAGTATTGTACCCTTTCCTCAATTGGTCTCAGTGGTCTCCAGTCCAGAGACTCTCTGTTTTATCCTCTACGGAAAATGAACATTTTGTCCTTTATACAGAAATGGACATGTGGGGCCGTCTTCAACCACTCCTAAAACACTAAGACATTCAATAAATCCTCCTGTTTCCAGCCCCACTTAATCCTCCAAGTTACATAACTGCAGATTGCAGCGCTCACATAGGAAACCCTGTGAGCAGCCTCCTTTAAAGCTGGTCATCCCTCCAGCCTTATTCCCCCACACTCTCAACGGTATTGTAACTAAGAGGCTCAGTTTTAAAAATATACTTCAGTCATCCACTCTCTTTATCTTCCTTCCTGCCGCTCTCACACCTTGATTAAAACCATTTTTTCCTTCCACCCATCCATGTCTTGACTCTGGCTTTTAGGTGGCAAGCTGCTGGACTTAGGACCAGATACAGTATCGTATGTCATGAGCCTTTGGGGAGCTCTTCAGTTTACAACTTGGTGGCTCAAAGATTTCCTTTCTACTGCTTTAGACAGCTTTTTGGGGGGATGTGTTTTCCGAAATCAGCTGCTCTTTCCGTATGGAACCATACATTGAGATTACATGAGTGGCTGTGATGTCTAACGTAACAGAACATTTGATTCTCTTTGTCTATATTGTTTATAGAAAAACATCTCTTCTCATTGATATGTTTCTTTCCCCTTCCATCTCTGTTACTGTACTAACCATTACCAGATTTTTAACAATAAATTTAGGATTTTAAAATATATTTGTGGCAGGAATTACTGTCTGCCTCTAGAGGTAACATTTGAGTGAACTGTCTTATTGTCATTGGCAACTTCCTTCAGATCATGCCACTGGATTACAGACTGGTCGACAAGAGTAAGACTGTCTTAAGAAAAAAATTAAAAAGATTAAAAAAAAAAAAGAAACCTTTCTAAGGTAATAATTGGAGACACTGGCAAAGACATGTGACAGTGTTTTCACTTCCTTTTATTACAATGTCAAAGTATAGAAATACCTAAATATTGAACCATGGAGAGATGATTGAATTGTACAATATTCCTATGTATGGCTGATTTATTCAGTTAGAACTTTACTCACCTATTGAACTTCAAAATTTTCACTCCCCCGACCAATGCTTTTTAGCCTTCTATTTTACTTTGCTTCTTAACACTCATCACTGTCTAATATACTATATTTTTCTTGTTTATGGTCTGCCTTTCCCAGAATAGAATCTTCATGAAGGCAGAGATTTTTGTTTTTATTTCGTTCATTCATCTAGCTCCAGTAATTAGAAAACTATACTGCACATGGTAACAACTCGCTAAATATATGTTGAATGAGTCATCAATGCTTTTCTCTTAACTTAATGACATGGGAAAATGTCCATAAAGTATACAATAAAATATGCAGACTCAGAACATAAAAAATATACACACACTCTCACACACACACACACACGACAAAATCTTGACTTCAGGGTGTTCTGCTGAACTTCAGTTGTTCTTGACTTCCACATGTGGAGGTGGAGCATCTTTGTTAAGTTTATAAGTAAGATGATTTTCTTTGTTTATGAAATGCCAGGTTATATGTTTCCTTTGTCCAGTTTTGTATTCGTTTCTCTTCTGATTTGTATAAATTCTTCATATTCCATAAACACTACTCCTTTTTCATAGGTGTTGCAAATCATCTTCTTTCCGCTAATGGCTTCTATTCCCTTTTTATAAAGTCTTTTGATAAACTAAAATGTTAATATTATTGTTGTAAAATGAACCAATGTTTTACTTCATAGTTTTGTGTTTTGGGTATGAAATCCTTGTCCACTGGAAGGTATAAACTATTTCTTCATATTTTCTGAATTTTAAATTTTTTTATTTTTTATTTTAACTCATTAGAACTTACATTTTTTTTGTGTGTCCAGTGACAGGTAGGGGTCCAATTTTATATTTTTTCTCATCTGTAACTAATGTCCCAGTACCATTAATATTTAGAGTTGCCCATTCTTTCCCAATGGACCTGAAGCAGAAGATCTCATGCACTGGCTTCCCTTATAATTTGGCTATTTCTACATTTTGAGCTGTTTGTCTTTCTTATATAACTCTGTAGTCATGTAAGTAGTCTTATGTATGGAGTCTCCCTTCTGATGGAGTTACCTACCCCACTGATATTTTTTTAGGCTTTCTCTTTACTAATAAATATATTTACAAATACAAACCACCTTCTAAAGAATGCTTTAGTTGCACCAAACATATACAAGCTTTGATATGTAGTGTTTTTATTGCCATTCTGTTCTAAACATAACTTCATTTTCTTATTTCAAATGTATTTTTAAATTTCGCAAAGTATAGTATATAGTGATCTTCTGGTTAACAAAATCTATGTTGTCAAATTGTGGTCTAAGAATATGATCATATTAATTATTATTATTACTATTTTTTTTTTTGAGATGGAGTCTCACTCTATTGCCAGGCTGGAGTGCAATGGCGCCATCTCAGCTCACTGCAACCTCTGCCTCCTGGGTTCAAGCAATTCTCCTGCCTCAGCCTCCCGAGTAGCTGGGATTACAGGCACGTGTCACCACACCCAGCTAATTTTTGTATTTTTAGTAGAGACAGGGTTTCACCATGTTGGCCAGGATGGTCTCGATTTCCTGACCTCATGTTCTGACCACCTAGCCCTCCCAAAGTTCTGGGATTACAGGCATGAGCCACTGCGCCTGGCCCGATTATTATTATTTATTGATACTTGCTGTGGCCTAGTACACTGCAATTTTTATAAGTGTTTCATATCAACTTGAAAGGAAAGCATTTTTTGTCATTTTTGAATATTATGGTCTGTTAATACCCTTTTCATAAAATTTTCATAAATAGTGTTTTCAAATATCCTTATTTTGAGATTTTGTTTTTGGTTTATTGCTCAACCAGTATCTGAGGGAAGTATTATTTAATTGTGGCAAAATACAACATAAAATGGCAATTTTAACCATTTTTAAATACAATTCAGTAGTGTTAAGTGTATTCGCATTCAGAACACAACCAGTCTCCACAAGTTTTTCATCTTGTGAAACAGAAACTACATCCATTAAATAACTTGTCCCCTCCCCACAGTGAGAGAGGTATTTTAAACTGTCTCTCTGGAATATCTGTTCACTTATCATGATTTTGTCAACTTTTACATCATATGTATTGAGGCTTTTTATATGCATAAAGGTGAATTTTATTATTACTTCTTACTTTATAATAATGTATTATTTTAAGCATTTTAAGTACTTACAAAGCTGATTATGTATATTTAGTCTCTAAATACCTGCAAGGAATAAGTATAGTGCTTTATTTCTAAGGAGAAATTTCTGTTTTCACCTAGAGAATAGCAAAGTTCCCTATCCTTTCTCTCTTTAAAAAAATCAGTCTACTGTTTGAATGTGCCCTATTTTCTATGTGCTGGCTGGGTGCAGGCATCTGTATTCCCATTCATTATATCACAAAGGCCAAAGTCTTTATCTCTGATATCTGCAATGCTATCAACACCCAACTCTAAATACAGAGAATGGAAAGGAGAATTATTATGTATTTTCTAGTGTCTCTAGGTGTTTCTAATTACAAAAGTTGGGTGTTGTTGTTAAGTTATCTTAGCCAGCCACCTGGATGAATTGGGATGTCTCCATGACATAATATTAACCTGAAAAAATACAGTTTGTCGATAGCATTTACTCAGTGATTCCAGAAATGTGTACTGTGAGCCCACCATGCACATGCTTATGGAAGTCCATAAATCATTCTGTCCACTTGAAGAATCATGGTTCATATATTTGGGAAGAGGGCTATATTTCTAAAGCAGGTTACCACAACCCGCAGGCAGGACGCAGAAACTCTGAACCTCTGAACTGAGCAGAAAATAAGTGTTTCCAGGGAGGGAGGAATAAGAAAGGCTAACATGTATGTAACATGTGTCCCATGTTCACTTTGGGGTGGAGACATAGCATTTAAATGTATTTCAGTTAGGCCTTGTACATCAAAAGGTGAAGTGGAGGATACGAAGGCGCTTAGTACACAGCCTTTGTAGACTGGCCAGAGCCATGCTGTGGTGGGTGGTCTCTTATTGGGAAGGAATGCTGGTCAGTTTCTGTGTTAAAGCTGCAAGAGGGAGGACAAGTGTCAGGCAGTTGGCTGAAATCACTGGGCAAGACTTTTGAAAGGGCTGGTTTCTGCCTTCACCCTTAGGGAAGAAAGCCTAATGGTCGTTAGCCATTCTCTAGAGAAACCTTAAAAACCTCTGGTCCCTTTGACCAAGAGGAAGTCTGTTCAGTCAAGTGGGGGGCTTAGGATTCTCTTTATTTCTCAATATACAAGTTCTGCACTCATGGCCTAGCATGATCTAGCAAGGATTCAGTGTGATTCCACTAGTGACAATTTATTTAGTCCTAAGTCCATGTGTATGGACATGTAAATACATGGAAGTCTGCTCAGCAAAATATTGGTTCTGTTTATCTTTGATATCTTGGTGGTAGTTTCTTGGTGGTAGGTAGCTTCTTCTTCATGTCTTTCCAAATTATTTTTATTTTGGGGGTTGTATATAAAGAGAATATTATAAGCAAACCAAAAAATGCAAATAGTATATATATAAAATGAAAAATAATTCAAAATATTTAATTGCTCATGATATCATAAAATGGTAGACTTTCTCAGCGAGTGCATATATTTCCTTAACATGAAGTTATTAACATATGGTCAGCATTTTCATTTCAACTTAATGTAGTTTATAGTTCTCACTATCTAAATTGACATTTACTTTAAAATATAGAAAAAGACTTCTCAGATGATAATAATGGTAAGGTTAATTATACATAATGGTCCCATTCTTTTTTTCTGTGAACCAATTTGTGAAATCAACGACTATCTTCTCTATGAAAGTTTTAGGTGGCTTAGACAATGTTCATGCTTTATTAGAGTCTCATCTCGAATGGGCAAGAGCCTGCATTGCTTAGGTTAGTACTGGACATAGTGAAGTGATCCATGCCACATAGATGCATAAATCATTTCGAACAGCTGGGCAGTTTCAGGAGGCCAATTAATCAAGTGGAAACCAGGTGTAGAGGCCAATGAAAAGCTTCCCCTTTGCCCTCTGAAGGTTTGCTGAAAAATCAACTCAAAAAAGGTAAATTAACAGGAGAAATGGCATGCAAATTTATTAGTTGCACAAAGAGAATCACAGAGTGATTGTCAATACCTTAGTGGGGTTCAGAAGCCTGTATACCATGCTGCAGAAGGGGAATCTCAGAGAAAGCCTGGCTGTTTATTTCACCTATATAGATTTTCTGCACAAATGCAAATCTACTCCACGAAAGTCAGCTTTTCTGCACTATTCCTGTCTGCTGGCCCTCTGAATAGCCACCTCAAGACACATCAAAGAACTATGTTTTGGGGTGAAATATTTTTGATTTCCTTTAGCAAAGGAAAGGTTTGTATACCTTTACTCCTTTTGTATATCAGGCACCCAGCCACTCGCTATTGCTTACCTGCACCCCATCCTCATTCCAGAGAGTTATTTCCTGCTTGTATATGTTTCCTTGAACTGCCATAACAAAGTACCATAGACTAGGTGGCCTAAACCACAGAAATTTATTTTCTCACGGTTCAGCAGGCTGGGAAGTCCAAAGTTATGTTGTTTTGGCCAGTTGGTTTCTGGTGAGGGATCTCTTCCTGGCTTGTAGATGGTCGCCTTCTAGCTGTGTTCTCACATGGCCTTCTTTAACTGTATGTATAAGGAGAGAGAAAGAGAGAGAGAGGGAGAGAGAACTTCAACCATCTGACCCCTGCTTTGAGCCTCATACTTTGCATATGACTCCCAAATCCATATGCACATTAATAAATGGGTATGCCTTTAAAAAATCTGCCTATAATCAGTTTGTTTTACAGGCTTCATAAAAAGCCACCAATCCTATCAGATTCGGGGCCCAACCTAATCTGATGGGGTGTAACTTTAATTACCTAATGTCACTTTAATTACTTCCAAATGTAGTCTAAATGAATTCAGGTCATAGCAATTCAGTCCATAGCTTGGCTTAACCTGGTCCGCAGTCACAGGTGAAGCTGAGCTATGGACTGAATTGCGGCTCGTCCGAATTCATATGTTAAATCCCTAACCTACAATTTGACTGTATCTCCAATGTAGCCAAATTGGCAGTTAGGGATTTAACCTATGAATTGGGACGGGCTGCAATTCAGTCCATAGCTCGGCTTCACCTGTGACTGCAGGCCCGCTCTGACCCAGGTAAACAGATAGACTTCTCTGTAATTCAGTAGGATAAAACACCTTCTCCAATAAAGTCTTAACTACAGCTTTGGGGAAGGGCTTCTCTTTCCAAGTTCGTTCTTCCTTGAGTATCTTCCCTCAGCTCTAGATTAACTTATAGAGTTCACTTATATCCTATAGTTAATCTTTTATCATGGTATAATTCTTTATATTAAATTTCTGTTGAAATCACTCTATGGTTTTTATCTTCTGATTTGACCTACACTGCTACAAGAACAGACAAGCTGAGAAGCATGAGCTTGAAATATAACTGCCCCTGGTGTTAATCATTACATTTTTGTGGAATGTATCTGTTATAGGACTAGGTATTCACTTTAATTATACTTGTACTTTAGTTTTATTTAATTATACTTTATTATGATTCTGCCATGTAAAATGTATGCCTGTGAAGAAAATCAAAATATTTCACCCCCAAATATCCTTCTTTGACATCTTTTGAGATGGCTGTTCAGACGGTCTGCAAATAGAAGTAGCCCTGAAAAGCTGTCTTTCCTCAGGAGGGAGGTTTGCATCCATAGAGAATCTGCCTTGATACAGCCAGGTTTCTCTGGGGCCCTTCCTCATCTGAGTCTAGTCTGACACCTTTAAACTTCTCAAAGAAACATTTACCATCTATTTTCTGTGATGGCTGCTACCTGTGAGGTTTCAGCTACATAACAAGACCAGCTTTGCTGCTAGGCCTCCTCTTCTCTCCCTCCCATAACATGTCCCACCACCATAACTTGATTCACCACCATAACCTGGTTTTGGCCATGCTCTGAGCTGCCATTCTTTCTGTAGCCTCGAGATGGCATACAAACTTCAACCATCTGACCCTCGCTCTGAGTTTATTAATACTTTGTATGTGATACCCAAGCCCATATGCATGTTAATAAATTTGTATGCCTTTTCTTCTGTTAATCTGCCTATTTTCAGTTTGTTTCATAGGCTTACATTATCAAAACTTCAGTGGGAAAATGTAAACTTCCCTGCAATGCCAGTGCAGCACAAAGCTTAGAGCATATGGTAACCCTGAGAGGAGGGCCGCTGCATCGGGGGGACCTCACAAGACAAGTCTGGAAGGTAGGGACAAGCAGGCAGAGGGAATCAGGGTGGCAGTGTGGGCAAGAGACCTGGACCACATAGCGTCTCTCTCAAGAGGGCTGCATGAAGGTGGTCACTAGGACAGGCTAGGACTGAGGGGTGGTGTATTTTGAACATGTCACTGGGGCAGAATGACACCAGATGTTCTCATACCCACACTGCTGGCACACCATGCAGCAGCTGGAAAGAGCAGAACAGTCTTCTTTCTGCTTACTGGTATCCTTACTGGTAAGCAGAAATGCTTAAAGATGTCCATTAGTACAGAACATGTATTGAAGACTGCATTTGGAGATCAGAGGCAATAAATTGAAAACTAGCATGATTCTCTTAGTCACTTTTTACATAATAGATTCTAATAATTT
Organism: Homo sapiens; assembly: GCF_000001405.40. Classification (NCBI taxonomy): domain Eukaryota; kingdom Metazoa; phylum Chordata; class Mammalia; order Primates; family Hominidae; genus Homo; species Homo sapiens. Next base: position 60,750,529 of record NC_000009.12, read on the forward strand.
AAGACTTTTTTTGTATGTGATTTATTGTAGCCCATGTGTTACAAAGGATCTGAGAATTAGACACTTTAATTGTAATATATTACTAACTTTAATATGGACTGTTGTTACCCCATTTATGGGAGTGAAATATGCTTAAAGAAACATTACAATGTGTCTAAAGTAACTTCTTAAACTTGCAAAAATCAGAGTGGATATGCCACATCATTGCACTCTAGTGTGAAAATCCAGACATACAAGAGCAGGTCAGACACCACCTGGGATAAGCTTTCACCTATCCTCCTTTTATGATCAGAAATTATTTTGCAAATTTTGCATTTCTACAAAATTATCTTAGGTTATTATCTAAATTCACCATTTAAGATTCACCATTAAAAAAAATTTCTGGGCTGGGCGCAATGGCTCACAGCTGTAATCCCAGCACTTTGGGAGGCTGAGACGGGCAGATCACGAGGTCAAGAGATCGAGACCATCCTGGCTAACACGGTGAAACCCCGTCTCTACTAAAAATACAAAAAAATTTAGCCGGGCGTGGTGGCGGGCGCCTGTAGTCCCAGCTACATGGGAGGCTGAGGCAGGAGAATGGCGTGAACCTGGGAGGCGGAGCTTGCAGTGAGCCCAGATGGCGCCACTGCACTCCAGCCTGGGTGACAGAACTAGAGTCCGTCTTAAAATATAATATAATATAATATAATATAATATAATATAATATAATATAATATAATATAATAATATAATACAATAATATAATATAATATAATATAATACAATATAATAATAATATAATATAATATAATACAATATAATATAAAAATTAAAAATTCTGATACCTTCTAAGGGAGGAGGATGTACTATTTGTTCTTTAAATTCTCACGGTATTTCCACATTAGAGTCCCCAAATACAAGAGCTCTAATGAGAAAGTGACTGCTCAGAAATTTGAGCAGACGTTTTATCCTTATGCCTTCATTTCTTTCATTGCTTAATAAACTCTAATGGATAATAGTGAACACATTTCTATATAGTTTCCGATCAAACGATTCTGTGAAAATTTAGTCAAGGAATCAAGAGAAAGTACAGTCATTTCTCCAAAGGAGCATTTCAACAGACATTTCATCAAAAACAAAATTTAAAATGGCAACCTGTGTGAAACACTTTGGCAGAATAATAATAATAAATAATTTGGATGCAAGCTGAATACATGAATTATTTTACTGGGGTGGAGGATATGGGCATTGCATGCTTATTACATTTTTGGTTTGTATTGCCCTACATGTTATTTAATGTCCTAGTGTTTTGACAAAGACAGGCATAAAATGAGCACTAATATTTTAGTTTCTGTCTTCTTTTTTTTTTTTTTTTTTTTTTGAGACGGAGTTTCGTTGTCTCACCCAGGCTGGAGTGCAGTGGCGCGATCTTGGCTCACTGCAAACTCTGCCTCCCGGGTTCATGCCATTCTCCTGCCTCAGCCTCCCGAGTAGCTGGGACTACAGGCGCCTGCCACGACGCCCAGCTAATTTTTTGTATTTTTAGTAGAGACAGGGTTTCACCGTGTTAGCCAGGATGGTCTCGATCTCCTGACCTCGTGATCCGCCCGCCTCGGCCTCCCAAAGTGCTGGGATTACAGGCGTGAGCCACCGCGCCCGGCCTAGTTTCTGTTTTCTTAAGGAAATAGACCAGTCCTTTGCAAACACATGTTTTATTTCCTAGTAAACTCATCTATTGCTACAACTGTGCAATTTAAGGGACAAATCATTCCTCCTTAATCTCCGTTGATGGCAATTCCATCTGGTGCCCAAGCTAATGACTTTGGGATCACCACTCTTCTTCTCTCACACTCTACATCCAGTCTAGAAAGAAATCTTATTGGTTCTATCACACTTACAAAACCTATCAAAAACCCTACCACTGATTAAGAACTCCATTGTCACCACCCTGATCAAAGCCATATTTTTCTCTTTCCTGGACCAATTTAACGGCCTCTGGAGGAGGACTGGCCCCTAGATGGCCTCAGCGGACCCAGCTTTCTTCTCCCCTTCCCCATTTCCTGGCTTACAGTTTTAGAATAACTGTAGAATGTGCTAAGAATGCAGTATCTTGATATATAGAGGAACTTTCTAGAAAAGCCTGGGCTTTGTCCTCATTCCTTGTAGAACGGGATGTCCTATAATGCTTTTGCTCAGTGACCCACCCACGGGATGCCCTCGAGCTAAAACCCAGAGCGGTGTGCTTTCAGAGTCCTTCAGCTGTAGTGCAAAGTGGAGCATGTGTAGATGAGTATATATTCTCTTTATACCAGAAGTAAGTATAGTTTCATTCAGTGAAAGTCACTGTCCCTAATCTATAAAATACTCAAAGTTTAAAAAAAATACTCTATGTTAAAAACTGTGAGCATTGAAAGCTGACTTATCTATTCAGAGATCACATATAGTAAAGGGTATTACAGTATAAAATACCAAGAAAGCAGATCAGCTGATGAAAATTACTGATTTTGAACGTCTTTTTAATCATTATATGACATCCTGATAAGTTTTCCTGAGGAATTAAATGCTTCTGGGATCTTAAAGTACATTTTCTACAAAGAAGTCATAGTGTTTTCTTAAAATAAGCTACCAATTAAAGCAAGAATGTGGAGTAGATGGCATTGGTAGATACAATCAACTAAAACATTGTTTTTATTTTCACTCCAGAGTACGGTGAGCTTATATTCACAATTAGTAAAAGGAAGCAGAGTTGATTTTCTACAACTTCTTCTGTTTCTTCTCTCAAAACCTTCAGAGAGAGGAAAAGGCAAAGGAATGCAGTATTCTCCCATTTAAGTCAACATTACAAATGCAGTTAAAGGGAATATAATATTGCTAAATAAGACCTCATCATGATGTGTATTCTATGACAGTTTATTTTGACTCCTTTAACTGAGCGTTGTGTGAGTTTCTTTATTTGTTAGCCACTCGGTTACGAAGATCAGGATGTTTTTAGCTTTTTAGACACAATATTTGTCGAAGCTCTTCTTCTCATACTATACTTTTCTAAAATGAATTTGAAAGTAGTGAGATGTCTTATCAACTTTCCATAAAATTCTCGTTTCCTTGAGCCTGTGTAAACAGCTGACTAAACACATGGCTATTCACTGTCAGGACTTGCTCCTCAGCATCTGCCACGGAAAAGATTCGATTGCACACATACGAACCCAATGCCAGCACCCCAAGGGACAGGGCAATAGAAATGGGAGGGAAATGATCAAGTCAATGAATGATACACTCCATTAATCTTAATGTTAGGACATTAATATTGCTTGGCAACTGCCTAAAATCAACAATAAGCGATCAACCAATTTGTTGCCTAAAAGTTGTTGATTTAACCATCAATAACTTAACAGCATAACCATAACAATAACTTTAATTTACTAACTTTAAATAACTAAAGTTCTTTAACAATAACGATAACAGCATATATGTACATCAGATACGCATTAAAAGATGGATATTTTTTGTGTACATCTGAATGGAGAATATTAGATAATGTAGAAAGACATGAGATGAAGTTGATAATACAACCCCTTAGAGCTTTAATAAATGAGCTCTCTCAGTCAAGCCACAGTAACGACCTTTTCTCTGTGATATGAGCCAGGACTCTGCAGGTGTACAGAGGAGATAAACTGCAATTATAAAGTACAATTAACAGGTAGTAGCGGTCTCATTTATTATACACACCTACGCATGTTTCCAAGCCTGATGATCACTAAGTATTCACAGCAAGTAATCACCCACTGGACAAAACAGCATTACTTCACCTTCTGAAAAAGTAGTTTCTACTACTTTGAAAAGCTTGTTGGTGATGAGACGAAAACTGAAATAGGTTACAATTCTAATACACACACAGTACAGGTAACACAAAGAGTCTTTCATTATTTAACATTCTTAAGCATCACCCAAAATGCCAAAAAGAAATACGGTAAGTTTCAAGGTTTTGCATAAAGTACTACACTGAGCTTTTAAAGTGAAGGGCTTAGTCACCCAAATACCGTCTTAGGCCTTATAGTATCTCTCCTGAGTTCCCAGTATATAATTTATTATACCAAACAGATCATTCTCCAGAGTTCTTTTGATATTTCTAGATCTCTCTCAACTTATAACCTAATCAGCTCCCTCAATCCCACATAGGCCTCAAGCTAATCTCAATCACTTTTCTTCCATTCATTTTTCATTCACTTATTTACAAATATGTATTTTGCATGAATTGTCTGCCAGCACTGTTTTAGGGGCAGAAAGAATATGATAGTACCTAAGAAAGGCCCTCATTCTTATATCTCTTTAAAGGAAGATAAAAACTTTTAACAAGGTAAATATTTAAAAATACTTTAAAGGAGACCAGGCGTGGTGACTCATGCCTGTAATCCTAACACTTTGGGAGGGAGAAGTGGGTGGATTGCTTGAGGTCAGGAGTTTGAGACCAGCCTGGGCAAAATGGTGAAACCCTGTCTGGACTAGACATACCCGCCCCTAAAAAAATTAGCCGGGTGTGGTGGCACGTGCCTGTAATCCCAGCTACTTGGGAGGCTGAGGCAGGAGACTCACTTGAACCTGGGAGGCAGAGGTTGCAGTGAGTGGAGATCATGCCACTGCACTCCAGCCTAGTCAACACAGCAAGACTCCATCTCAAAAACAAAAAACAAAGAAACTTTAAAAGACACAAAATGCTATAATAGCAGAGAGTGATAATTGCTACAAGGAAAATAAAATATGATTATGGAAAACAAATGAACTGGTTGATCCAACTCCTGTCTGTGTCCACTGCTACCATTTTGGAGTGAGCTCTTGTTAGGTCGCCACTCACCCAGGCTCCAGTGATACCCTAATTGGTTTCCTTCTGTTAATGGCCTTCATTGCTTTTTCTGCAGCGCAGTCAATCTGTCAGGTAGGGCTCTCTAGAAGCAGAGCCTGCAATAGCAATTATTGAGCAACTTTTCTTGAGAGAATAACCTTATGAGAGGGGAATAGTAAGTAGGGTGAGACAAAGATGAGATCTATCTAAGCCAGGATGATCTCAGCACAAGACTGGCTCAGCCTGACACCCAGAGTTTTGGAGCATGGATTGCATTACAGAGTTGGCCTGACGTTGAGGCTAGAGGAATAGCCCTTTATACCATGTGTCAGTCAGTCACTGGCTACAGGTTGTCCAGGCGAGGCAGCTCCCTTAAGTCTGAAGAAGTGCTCAGGAGAGAACAGGGCACTTGTGAGCCCTTAGCTACCAACAATAGTATGCGGGGGTGCAATGCAGAGGCCTAGTAAAGTGGGACTGAATGGAGCAGCACCCTTTAATTTAAAAGAAGAAGAAAATGGATATTGATTAGAAACACAGCAGCATCTGCCACAGTTAGAAAAAGCATGACTATGTGGTGTTTCTGTAAGAACATGAGAGAATGTCAGTGAAGCACATCATAACAGTGATTGGAGCATGAGTTCTCAGTCAATGGCAGTTATTTTGATTGTGACAGATTGAGATGTTTATAACTTGAATAGCTGGCACTAGAATTCCTATTACAGAAGAATTCCTAATGTTGAAGTACTAGTTTGATGAGCTGCTTGGGATAAAATTGAAACTTCAAAGTTATGCCCATTGGCAGGAGTTAAAGCAGCAAAGGGGGCACCAAAACTATCTTGTGTGAGAAAAGGAGACCAATTTAGTTTTTGCTCCTGAGAAGAGAAAAGACAGAAGAGAAGGGAGGGGAAGGAGGGAGATGCGGGAAGGAGGGAGATGCAGGAAGGAGAGCCAGGATCATGCTAGAGAAGCTCAGAGGGAATTAGCTGGCCAAGCAGTGGGGAATTAACTTTTAAAGAATATAAGGCTTGGCCTGGGTGCAGTGGCTCACACCTGTAATCCCGGCACTTTGGGAGGCCAAGGCGGGTGGATCACCTGAGGTCGGGAGTTCGAGACCAGCCTGACCAACGTGGAGAAACCCATCTCTACTAAAAATACAAAATTAGCCAGATGTAATGGCACATGCTTGTAATCCCGGCTACTCAGGAGGCTGAGGCAGGAGAATAGCTTCAACCCGGGAGGTGGAGGTTGTGGTGAGCCAAGATTGCGCCACTGCACTCCAGCCTGGGCAACAAGAGTGAAACTCCATCTCAAAAAAAACAAAACAAAACAAAAAGAAAGAATATAAGGCTTATGTTTACAGTAATTCTTGTTACACCTCCATATCTTCTGTAAGGTTATTGAAAATAAACTAATGGGTTACATGTATATGTGTCTTTTTTTGGTGAAAATTGAGGGAGAAAATAAATCTTATTTATGAGATAGGATGTTTGAATCATAGAGAAAGAATAATCTATAAAGTGAAGAAGTTGGAATTCTCAGCCAGAGGTGACTGTACTATCTGGAATATCCTGAGAAACAGAACCAATAGCAGAGACGGAGGGAGAGCGAGAAAGACTTACTATAGGTAATTAGCTTATGTAATTCTGGAGGCTGAGAAGTCAAGTTCGCAGTTGGCAAGCTGGAGACCCAGGAGAGCCAATGGGAGAGTTCCAGTCTGAGTCTGAAGGCCTGAGCACCACGAGAGTCAATGGTGGAAGTTCCAGTCTGAAAACTGGCAGGCTCAAAATCCAAGAAGAGCCAATATTTCAGTTTAGTCTGAAGACAAGAAAAAAGTCATGACCCAGTTCAAACAGTCAGGCAGGAGTTTTCTCTTTCTTACTGGAAGGTCAGAGTAATTTTAGTTCTATTCAGGCCTTCAACTGATGGAGTAAGGACTACTCACATTAGGGAGAGAAGCTCGCTTTACTCAGTCTACTGATTCAAATGTTAATTTCATCCAAAAGCACCATCACAGACATAGCTGGGATAATGTTTCATTAAACATCTCGGCACCTCATGACATAGTCAAATTTCCACATGAAATTATTCATCGCAAGTCCACCTCTTGTCAACTTGGCATCCATACACATCTCCTTAAACTATACTTAATCTCCAAATAAAGAAAATAGCAAGGCCATGCTTCTGTCTAATATATCATCATCCCATGTACCACTGAAGACACACCTACCCCTTCCCCAGAAAAGGAGGTATAATCCTCGAATGATGTTTACTTTTCTCCTTGATATCCTGCAACTTAAATGTTATAATATAAAATCAACAACACTTAAATGCAATGATATAGTCAATACATCCCTTATAAGGGAATAAGACAGCAGAAAAACAATAATATTTGCTTAATGCACCCACACACATTTGTATGTATTCATAACAAAAAAGGAGGAAATGCTGATAACAATTTCAATCTTGATTTCTGTAACTGGTCATGTGGTCATAGCTGGTATTTATAGCTACCTTCTTCCACTAAGCACCTCACTTCTTCCACTAAGCACCTCAGCTGGTCGTGATTATTTCCTTGTTGGGATGACCCAAGGCTTCATTCCTGAAGGGTCTGGGCCATTAGTTGTCCTGCCTGGATTAGGTGGTTGTCATTTTCCATTGACCATAATTACAGAATATTATAATCCCAAGGACACCCTAAGGGTATATATATTGCAGACACACCCTTCCTTATCTCCATTTGGAAGTACGAGTCCAAGTTCCCCTTGCCAGTTAAGATCAATAACCAGAACTAGCCCAGTAACTCTCTTCCTTGCCTGTTGATTTACAGGCATGAGGAATCCAAAGCCACTGGGTAACAGTTTTAATTTCCAGTTCTATAAAGGCATTGTTGTGTCTCTTGGTGGAAGCAATCCTTCATTTGAAACAGACTTCTAGGCCAGCAGATCATAAAGTTGTAGGATCAAGAGGCAAACATTTTGCTAGTAGGTCACTAGGAATAACGGTGAGTGAGACCACTCCCACTTTCTTCCCTTGATTCCTGGACCTGTGAATTCTGCCTTTTGGAGAAACAGCATCATATTTTCGATGCTGATTTAAAGCATGCAGACTCCTGAGGAATCTTTCCCCAGCTCAGTACTGCCACCTGGCTGACACTGTAACTGAGTCTGCAAAAGGCCATTCCATCATTCTACCAAACCAGCTACTTCAGGATGGTAGGAAACATAGTAAAGTCGATGAATTCCATGAACATGGACCCATTGCTGCACTTCTTTTGCTGTTAACTGAATTCCCTGATCAGAAGCACTGCTGTATGGAAAATAATGACTGTGGTTAAAGCATTCTGTAAGCCCATGGATGGTAGCTTGGGTAGAAACATTGCATGTAGGGAAGGCAATTCTATATCCAGAGTGTCTGTTCCAGTAAGAATAAAACACTGCCCTTTCCATGATGAAAGTGGCCCAATGTAATCAATCTGTCACCAGGTAGCTGGCTTATTACCCCAGGTGCATATCAAGGATTCAGAGTTGGTCTGCGTTGCAAGCATACTGGACCGTCACAGTGGCCATGGCCAGGTTGACCTTGGTGAGTGGGAGTCCATGTAGGCTAAGTCTCCATCCTGCCACTATGGATACTTTGTTCCTGAGTCTACTGGGAGATGACAGAAGTGGCTGGCGAAAGAGGCTGATAGGTATCCACAGAATGGGTCATCCTATCCACTTGATTTTTAAAATTCTTCTCTGCTGAGGTCATCCTTTGGTGAGCATCCACATGGGACACAAATATCACCATGGTTTTGTCACTCATTCAGAGAGGTCCACCCACACATACCTCTTTCCCAGGTTTCCTTGTCACCAATCTTCTAATTATGTTTACACATTATGCCATTTGTTCTTTCCAAGCAAAGTGAACAACCTGGTGCACTATTTGAAGTTGAGTCCACTGGGACAACTTCTCTTCACCACTGTCCAGGGATGTCCCAGAGAGGGGCTACAGTGCTGCAGCTATCCACTTTCAGATGATTCCTGAATATTATGCAAAACCCTCTGTAATCCAGGCCCAAGTCTTCTCTTCTTTAGTCAACTGATAATGGGGAGCTCCCCATGGGACCATAAGTGCAGGCTGCGAGAGAAAGGTCAGTGTAGCAGATGTGGGGACCATGGGCTTTTGGGTCACTTTTTCATGTAACTTACTTGTGCCTCAGAGCCTGCTCAGACCTAATCATGTGTATACCACTTCCATTAAATGCTGGAGTGCTCCTCTGCATGCCTAGCTTCATAGCTTGGTGAATCAGATAACACCCAGCTCATCACATGCAGCTCAGATCACATGGCAACTTGGTGGCCCAGGGTTACGAGTTCTGTATCTACTAAGGTCTAGTAGCAGGCCAAGAGTTGTTTCTCAAAAGGAGAGGAGTTATTCGCAGAAGATGGCAGGACTTTGCTCCAATATTCTAAGGCCCTGTGCTGTTACTCACTTATAGGGCTTGTCAAAGTCTCCAAACACCATCCTATCTGCCACTGGCACTTCAAGCACCATTGGATCTGCTAGATCATACGGCCCAAGCAGCAGAGAAGCTTGCACAGCAGCCTGGACTGCTACAGAGCCTTCTGTTATTCTGGGTCCCACTCAAAAGCAGCAGTTTTCTAGGTCACTCAGTAGATGGGTCAGAGTAACACACGCAAATGAGGAGTATGATGCCTCCAAAATCCAAAGAGGTCCACAGAGTGTTGAGTCTCTTTTTTTCGTTGTAGGAGAGACCAGAAGCAACATCACCTTAAAAGGAATATCTTGATGTGCCCAACATCACTAGACCTCTCGAAATTGTACTGAGGTAGAAGGCCCCAGCATTTTAGTTGGATTTATTAACCACTCCCTGACATGTATGTCTTACCAGTAATGCCATCAGTGTAACGGACCAGTAATATCTTGTGGAAGTAAAAGGTAATCAAGATCCCTGTCAACTAAATTTTAACATCGGCCTAGAAAGTTGACATATCTGTGAGGCAGGATAGCGAAGATGGATTGCTGGCCTTGTCTGCTGAAAGAAAATTGCTTGTAATGAGACTTATGAACAGATACAGAGGAAAAAAAGCATTTGTCATGTCAATGGCTGCATATCAGAGGATGTGTTAATTTATTCAATGAAACCACATCTGATACAGCAGCTGCAATTGGAGTTACTATCTAGTTAAGCTTACTGTAATCTGTCATTCTCCAAAATTCATTTGTTTTCTGCACAGTACAAATAGGTGAATTGAATGGGGGATGTGGTGGGAATCACCACCCTTGCATATTTCAAATCCTTAATGGTAGCATTAATGTTTGCAACCTCTCCAGGAATGCAGTACTAACTTTGATTTACTACTTTCCAAGGCAGAGACAGTTCTAGCGGCTTCCATTTAGCCTATCTCACCATAATAACCCTTGTCCCTTACACAAGTTAAGGAACCAATGTGGGGTTCTTCCAGCTTCTGAGTATATCTATTCTAATCATGCATTCTGGAAACAAGAAATAACCACAGGATGGATTTTGGGACTCACTGGGACCACTGTGAGACAGACATGGGATAAAACTCCCTGAATCACCTGATCTCCATAAGTCCTTACTTTGACTGGTGACCCACAGAGGGGGTTTAGGTCTCCTGGAATTAGTGTCAGTTCAGGGCCAGTGTCCAGTAGTTTCTAATAGGTCTGATTATTTCCTTTTCCCCGTTGCATAGTTACCCTGCTAAATGGTACCTTACTTTTGGGAAGTTGTGAGGAAGTTTAACAGTGTAATTATTTTTGCAGTGTATGGTGCTCCTTCCTCAAGAGTACTTGGCCTCCCCTCCAGGGGGTTCTGGGGCTATAAACTGGCTCTACTATGGGAATTGATTGAGGAGTTGTGACTCTGGTCTAGGTTAAACTTATATTCACTTGACCTAGGAATTTTCTGCTTACCCAGTGATACAGTTTGGATATATATCCCCAGCCAAATCTCAGGTTGAACTGTAATCCCCAGTATTGGAGGTGGGGCCTGGTGGAAGATGACTGGATCATGGGGGTGGAGTTCTCATGAATGGTTTGGCACCATTCCCTTGGTGCTGTTCTCATGACAGTGGGTGCCTTCTCATGAGATCTGGCTGTTTAAAAGTGTGGCACCTAACTCTCTCTCTTTTGCTCCAGCTTTCACCATGTGACATGGAAGCTCCTGCTTTGCCTTCCACCATGATCCTGAGGCCTCCCCAGAAACAGATGTCAGTGCTAATGCTTCCTTGTAGAACCATGAGCTAATTAAACTTCTTTCCTTATAAATTACCCAGTCTCAACTATTTCTTTATAGCAATGCAAGAACAGCCTTATGTATACAGAGAAAGTAAGAATTTAGTAGTCTTCCAGAGTATTTCACCTCTAGAACCATCATGCTCAACTAACCAACACCATAAATCTGCACAAGTGAGATGATTCTGATTGCTGTCTTGAGTCTGCCTCCCTTACAGGAACCACACCCACTCTCACTTTGGTACCACCCCTTGGCTCCTGCCATCCTGGGATCCAATTACTCCCATTGTCTAGATTTTCCAAACAGTGACTGCATTCTCCACTGTAAGGTCTGGCAATCACAAAGCTCTTCAGAGACACTTAGGCTCTCCTTACAAATTGATTTCTCACAATAGCAGTGAAAAGAAGTACATCTTCTGTTTTCTCCCAATGAGGGTGGTTAGATCTGAAATGGCAAATCTATTCTAACATTCCGATCTCCCTAAGCCTTTGAATGCTTTCCTCTACAGATGGTCCCCTTTAAGATGGTTCCTGTTGCAATGGTGTGAAAGTGATGCACATTTAGTAGAAACCACACTTTGAATTTTGAATCTTGATCTTTTCCCAGGTTAGATCTGCTGTATGACACTCTGTTGCAATGCTGGGCAGCTGCAGGGAGCCACAGATCCCAGCCACCCACACCATCACAAGGGTAAATGACCAATACTCAGCTGTGTACTGTGAGTGTGCTGTGTTGCCAGTGGTTTTTATTTTTTATACTTTTAATGTTTTAATTTTTTCTTATTTTTCATAAGTTATTGGGGGTACAGGTGGTATTTGGTTACATGAGTAAGTTCCTTAGTGGTGATTCGTGAGATGTTGGTGCACACATCACCCAAGCAGTGTACACTGTACCATATTTGTAGTCTTTCATCCCTTGCCCCCTCCCACTTTTCCCCCCAAGTCCCCAAAGTCCATTGTATCATTTTGCATTCTCAAGCTTCATCAGAAGAGAGAGAAACCAATGACCCTGTCACTATAACCTCTCCATCAGCCAGCAATTAATTTTAGTTCAATGTTTCAAATTTTCTTCAGGCTCCACGCACTTTCAGCTGTGTACATTAATGGTTAGTACCCATACAAGTATTCTGTTTTTCACTTTCAGTATGGTATTCAATAAATTAGGTCAGCTATTCATTACTTTATTATAAAATAGGCTTTGTGTTAGGTGATTTTGCTCAACTATAGAATAAAGTAAGTGTTCTGAGCATGTTTAAAGTAGGATAGGCTAAGCTATGATGTTTGGTAGGTTAAGTGTATTAAATGCAGTTTGACTTGCAATATTTTCAAGTTATGGTAGCTTTATTGGGATGTAACCTTATAGTAACTAGAGGGGTATCTATACATTCAACCAAGGCAGGTCTGGCATTTCCAACTTACTCACTGTAGGCCACCTTTTGGTCTAAGCTTTAGTCAACCACAGAAAGTGTTAGAGCCCTTTCTGACTCCTGAGATGCACATTAACTGTATAATCTATGCTTAGTAAAAGTAATTTCAGCCTGAGGTAAGTTGGTGTTCCTCCACCAATATCTCTCACACTTAATATCCATTCTCACATGTTTCCTAGGTTTCTGTCTGTATAATTTTAAAAACTCAAACAATTATTGTAGAGTGTAGCACACCTCCTCATGGGCCACACTTTATACCTCACCTTTAGGGGCCCGCTGAGATGAGTCTAGTTCTAGATCCAGAAGCAAAGAAAGATGGTAGGCATGGTTCCTGAGAATATTCAGCATTTTCTTGATGGCAGCTTCCTCAGGGGAGGCCACTAAAATTTCATCAGTCACTAAGAGGTTACTCTCTTCAAATGGGGGTAGAGAGGCTGCTCCCCCTGGGGCTGGGGAGACATCTTCCAGCAGAAAAGAACTTAGTGGTTCAGTGTTTCCAGCTTCATCCAGGTCTTCCCTCACATCACATCCCCACTCCAATATTCAGATTCCATTCCTTCCCAATCAATGCCCTCACTTTCCCCATAAATACTCTACAAGGCTGGGAGTTCAAACTTACATTGTAATTCAGCCAGTCACAGGATGAGTTTCTGGGCTTCATTTTCAGCAATCTTAGACCTGAAATTACAGGAGATAAATGTCTCCTTCAGGGCACACATAGAAGCTTTCAGATCATTTAGGTAGCATTTGAGCTGGGAATTTTAATCGTTAAGCTCATCTTTCTCTTTCTATACTTTGTCCAGCACCATTAGGAACAATCAGTCCTAAACTGTTATATTCAATAGCTTGTCGGAAATGTTTGAAAGTACCATATACACAGTCATCCATATCCATGCTTTTTGTAAGTAGTTGATTAGGACTATCCAAGGGTGATATTTTGCATATTTCTATTGCCAAATCACGCCAGGTACTGTGAGTGCTTTCTTTACCACTGGAAACAGAACCACTAGCATCTTTAATTCTAATCAGATTAGAAAGCCAATTCTGGAAACTTCAGAACAAATTCAAGAAATTTATTCTTAAAATTTTGTTTCTCTAGAACCACTGTTAGTACTAAATCACGCTAATCTCAGTACTAATCTGTATTAGTCACGTACCTTCCAAAAGAAAAAAACCCAGAACCCACTAGATGCTTAGATGGATATGTGGACACATAGGTACATTTATTGTAAGAAATTGCTTTATGTGATTACAGAGACTGAGGAGTCCAAAATTTGCAGTTGGCAAGCTAGAGACCCAGGGAAGTTGGTAATGTAGGTCCACCCCAATTCCAAAGGCCTGAATACCAGGAAAGCTGATGGTGTAAGTTCCAGTCCCAGTCTGAGTCCAAAGGCAGAAGGACACTGATATCCTGTTCAAAGACTATCATAGAGAAACAATTATTTATTACTCAAACTTTCATTCCATTCAGGCCTTCAAGGAACGATATGAGGTCCACCTACAATGTGGAGAGCAATCTGCTTTACTCAGTCGTACCTGGGAGGCTTCAAGACTTCCGAGGAGGGTGTTAAACTTCCTTCAGACATGGAATTAAATTTTGATTCAATTTTATCCAACTGTCTTGGGAAAAGGGGAATGCTTCACCTACTGGATGGTTTAAATTATTTTGTTGTAATCATTATAAAAATGTGTACATCTGTGGACAAAAAGAAACAATGAATGAGCCAAATACATACTTGGAAATTCACAAAAATGTTAGTTTTATATAGACATAATCTGATAAGCTTGGAAATTTTTAAAAAATGCTTTTCGAATAAGCTCAGTGTTTACAATAGTCTTGTTTCTTTTACTTGTCAAAGGCTCTGCTATCTGAAAATATTCAAACCATGAGTTTCATGGGCCCTGCCTGTGAGAAAATGTGCATTTTCCACATAAAATCCATTTCCTTGTCAGATAATTTACAACTCACCCTGTTTAAACAGACTCTGTATTTAAAGCTAGAAGATTTATCACACAGCAAGTTCAACCTCAGGAATTCCATATAAGTCCACAAGCACATGTGTCTAAAAACTGTTGAGTAAGTAAATTCAATGATGAAAACTGTAATTTATATCAAGGATGAGAAATACTCTCTTTGTAGGTCTATTGTCAATGACTAATATATGAAGAATTAATGCAGTTGATCATCTAAATAATGCTACACATGTCTGTTTCCATTGGCCTGTGGACAAGAACATGTGTCAGTAAAAAAAAGAGTTTTGAAATAAATCTCAGATATTATGATTGTTTCATTTTCTCTAATAAAATGTGAACATTTATTCATTCTTGGAAAATAATTTTGAATAGAGGTATATTCAGGTATATGTGTTATATTCCTTTATTGTTAACTTTATAGGCATTAGTTTCGTTAATTAAATATAATGTGGCTTTGGTGGAATGAAAAAACACTAGCCTGAAGCTGAACTGGTCACTTTTCAGTTTTGTGTTTGGTGGGTGTGGACAGACATGATGTAATTCTTTGGAGAATTGAGACAACTTGGGAGATTTACAGGGCACATATGATTGTATTTCCATTAGTGAAATTGTCACACATTAAAGACAGAGTAGGCATATTAGAGCTAAAATGTATTCAAAGGACCTTTATCAAATAAATGTCAGTTGTGGAAATAAATGTTAAGTTGGAATATGTGAAAGACAAATGGAAAATAAAGGGAGACCATTCATTCACGGACAGGTAGAGAAACATTCAGTGAAAGCTAAAAAGATTGAAATAGGGTCGGCTGGGTGCAGTGGCTCACGCCTGTAATCCCAGCACTTTGGGAGGCCGAGGTGGGTGGATCACGAGGTCCGGAGATTGAGACCATCCTGACTAACATGGTGAAACCCCGTCTCTACTAAAAATACAAAAAAAAAAAAAAATTAGCCGGGCGTGGTGGCAGGTGCCTGTAGTCCCAGCTACTCCGGAGGCTGAGGCAGGAGAATGGCGTGAACCCAGGAGGCGGAGCTTGCAGTGAGCCACGATCACACCACTGCACTCCAGCCTGGGTGACTGAGCAAGACTCCGACCGTCTCAAAAAAAAAAAAAAAGTTTGAAATAGAGTCATGAAAGGCGTTAGCCGGGCGCGGTGGCGGGCGCCTGTAGTCCCAGCTACTCGGGAGGCTGAGGCAGGAGAATGGCGTGAACCCGGGAAGCGGAGCTTGCAGTGAGCCGAGATTGCGCCACTGCAGTCCGCAGTCCGGCCTGGGCTACAGAGCGAGACTCCGTCTCAAAAAAAAAAAAAAAAAAAAAAAGAAAGGCGATTTATTTTTATTTGTTTTCAGATAAGTGACATTTAGATAACAATTTGAAACGTTGATAGAAAGTTCCAGTAGGATGGGAATTATTGAAAGAACAAGAGAGTAGGGAAATAGTTGACAGGAGATGCCAGGAGGTGGACGGAGAGCACAAGTAGACAGATTTTACTTTCCCGGAGGGATTCCTCAACTGGATTGGAAGGGAAGGCAACAAAAAGTGACTGGGACATAGCGTGATTTTAAAGGCAGAATACATCAAAGTCTGGGGGTAGTTGATGCAGAAGACTTTGAACAAATGTGAATATGTCTTTATGGAATGTTCCCATCCTGCACCAATATAAGTGTGCTGCTAAACCAGAGAGAGCTCTCTGGAAGGGACTTCCTTGCTAGTGTTACAAGAAAGGGGTCCCTATACAGACCCCAAGAGAGGGTTCTTGGATCTCGTGAAAGAAAGAATTCAGGGCCAGTCCACGGTGCAAAGCAAAAGCAAATTTATTAAGAAAGTAAAGTGGCAAAAGAACAGCTACTCCATAGACAGAGCCAGGAGTTCCCAAAAGGAAGAAGAGGAACGCGTCCACCCTAGGTACAACGCTTGTTTATATATAGGATAAATAAAGATCATGGGAAGATGTGCTATGCTACAAGGGTTTGTGATAAAGGATTAATTTTCTTATATTTTGCAAGGATCGATATTATTATCTTTAAAGCAAAATTAGGAATGCTTCTGTTCTCAAGATATCAGGATATCAAGACAATCCCAAGTCTGGGCCTGTTTAGTAAACATTATCAATCTGTTCTCTTAGCAGTAAACATCTAGAGGCTAGGAATGCCTAACTTTCTATGAATGCAGCCCAGCAAGTCCCAGCCTTATTTTCTTAGCCTTCACTCAAGATGGAATCATTCTGGCTGGAAAGCCTTTGACACTAGGAAAAGCACAAATTGTATAAGTGGAACAATTTGGAAACAAGAGTCAGGTAGTCTTTCTTTAGACACAACACGACTTTGACATAACAATTGCAAATAATGCTTTGCAACCACGTCAATAGTGGTATCTTGAGGGGAACTACAGAATTTGAAAATAAATGTACTCTTTACCTAATTACTAATTTTTTTCATTTATTCTTATGTCTTACAAATATGATTATATTTGTTTAGGAATAAAAATTTGTTTCTTAAGAAATTCATCTATTTTTGTTGTAGTTCCCATTGGAAAACACATTTTTTTTTGTTAGAATAGTATAATCCCAATAAGTGACCTGTATTCATGAAGGCTAAGAATAGAAACAAGTAATGGTAGCTCAGAGGCTCAGGTTGGAACATAATGGCTCTGCCTCCTGAGAAGACGGAAGGTCTAATATTACATTAGACCACATGTGGCATCTTTATATTTGCTAAGGGATAGTTAGTGCTTGCATTTCTCAAAACAGTCTTACATTATCACAATCTGCTTTCAACTAGTTCAAAATTCAAGCTTAGTGGATTTTTTTCCACAGTAGTCATGCTAATGTAAATAGCACATTTGCAGTGAAAGTGTTCCGGTTTTATTCGTCAGATGTTTTAGGGCAGTGCTTCTCAAATTGTAATGTGCAAGATCCTTATGATCATGTTAAATGCAGATTCCAAGTCAACGTAGGTGTAAGTAGGGAAGTCTGCATTTCAAACAAGCTCCCAAGTGAGGTTGGTGCCTTGCATAGTAAAGTTGTCGTTTGCAGTTAGATACCCGCTTACCAACAGAAAGTGACCAGTTAAGAAGAAACACATGCTCACCAAATGCTTATCTCAATAAATTTCTTTACACAGACTTATTAAAATCAACTTAACATATGATACACATGACACATATAACATACCTGTCTTTAGAAAAATAAATTGATTGTTTTTTTGTCTGCCATATATGCCAAATAAATGGAAAACTGAAGATAATTTTTTTGGTTAAAATGTGGTGTTCGCATTAAAATTAGTTTGAAGGGTATTTTTCTGAAAAAAGAATCTCTCTTTCTCCATATATATAATATTTAACATTTAACTTTAATTTGAAGTAACATTTGCAAGAACCATGCTGTAAGGTAGTTTCCAGGGACCAAATTGTTAAAATAGATGTTTGTAATCAATACTTACCTGATGTGAACGTTTTGTATTATGACATTAAAGAGGGAATTCTTATTTGAACTCTACATTAGCTGAAAGTTCAGTGCATTCTGTAGCTTTCATATGAATTTATTCCACTACATTAGGTTCTAGATTTTAATATTTGTAGAGTTGGCTGCATGCAGTAGGGAAATTGTCTTTTGCTCTTAGAAGTCATGAGAACTAAGGAGTCACAAGGCGATTTAGTGCATTTAAGCCAGATTTCATCCTGTGAAATCCAGGAGCAGATTTTTTTTTTTTTTTTTTTTTTTAGCCAAAATTAGTTACTTTAAGAAACAAAGAATAGAAATTCCTTTAACAAAGAAAATTCTGTCTGGTAATCTAGTTGACATAAAGATAATAAGATATTGAATTTTTTAATGATTTCTTTGAGTCTAGGATGTGCCCAAGGAAACCTGTCCCTTGGCAGGAAAATAGTAGACATTTTCTTGAAACTATCGACTCATGCAACACCTTGGATAAATCTCAGTGGTGTTATGGTGAGTGAACAAAGTCATTCAAAAAGTTCATACTGTATTGATTCCATTATATGACATTCTCAAAAGATAAAACTATAGGGATAGAAAATAGATCGGTGATTGCCAGTGCTTGGTGGCATAAGGGAGGCTTTGATAAAGAGGCAGCATGTGGGAATTTTTTTAGGGTGATAGAAATGTATCTTATTGTGGTGATCGTTATATATATGTCTTAGAATTTATAGAAATGTGCACCACAAAAAGGTCAATTTTACTGTATGATAATTATAAAAACAAAAGAAAATAGAAAAAAGTGTGAGACAAAAAATATTAATTTACCTCAGAAACTAAATGAGCTTTTCCCATTGTATGGAGCTGAGGATTTATGAAAATTGCTTTCTTCCATATGCAGCCAGGCATGAAGCTGACTTGTGCCTCCATTGCCTGGAAGAATCCATCGGGGAAATGGTGGTAATAGAAGATGCGACTCTGTTTGCTGGATTTAGTTGCCATTACTGCAAGGGCACAGAGGGCTTCATGTAGTTGCAGACAGAAACTATAATGGAAATATTACTTAACAAGGTATCACTTTATATTTCTTCTTTCTTTTTTTTTTCTTTTTTTGAGATGCAGTCTCGCTCTGTCGCCCAGGCTGGGGTGCAGTGGCACAGTCGAAGCTCACTGCAACCTCTGCCTCCCGGTTCAAGTGATTCTCCTGCCTCAGCCTCCTGAGTAGCTGGGATTACAGGCATGTGTCACCACGCCCGGATAATTTTTGTGTTTTTAGTAGAGATGGAGTTTCACCATGTTGGTCAGGATGGTCTCGAACTCCTGACCTCATGATTGGCCCACCTCAGCCTCCCAGAGTGCTGGGATTACAGGCGTGAGCCACCGCGCTCGGCCACTTTATATTTCTTTGAATATAATATCCCAAGTAAGAATTTGGGATTGTGGACCGGGCATGGTGGCTCACGCCTGTAATCCCAGCTACTTGGGAGGCTGAGGCAGGAGAATCGCTTGAACCTGGGAGATGGAGGTTGCTGTGAGCCAAGATAGCGCCACTGCACTCCTCCAGCCTGGGCCACAGAGTGAGACTCGGTCTCAAAAAAAAAAAAAAAAAACAAAACAGAATTTGAGATTGTGTTTAAATATAGTAAGTACATTTGATAAATCAACTGCATGGCAGTCAAATCTTAAACTCTAAAACCACTACATCTCTGAGTCAAAAAGTTGTATTTGTGGTAGTAGTCTAAAAGAAAAATTCTCACCAACAACACCTCAGGGCATTGTAAAAAGCGTTGCTGATTCTTTTCATTAGGGTGGTAATTGCTAATTAAAGCCTAATGTATAGTGGGGCTATAAGGGCTTTTTTTCCCTCCATGTTGGAAATAAGCAACTTCCCACATCAGAACGAGCAATGGAAACAACCAGAAGCCGCATGGAGATCTGGCACGGGGGCCAGCGAGGGCAGAACGGGAGTCAGCATTGCGCTCATGGCTCTCCGAGAGGGTCTTGGCGGTGGAGCACCCTGAGGAAATGGGAGAGTTACCCATGAGGCCTGGTACACCAGCATTTCCTCTACCTTTCCTATATGCCAGGGGATTTACGAAAGATTTTTTTTTATAGGAACAAATAGACTATTTATATCCCCAACAATCACCTTTTTTTTTTTTAAGACAGAATCTCAAAGTCAGTTTTCAGAAAGTATGTGAGGATTTATTGCGTTCCAGGTAAAAGCAGCTGCCCATTATACGAAATCTTTTTTTTTTTTTTTTTTTGAGACAGAGTCTCACTCTGTTGCCCAGGCTGGAGTGCAGTGGTGCGATCTCGGCTCACTGCAACCTCCACCTCCTAGGTTCAAGCGATTCTCCTGCCTCAGCCTCCCGAGTAGCTGGGATTACAGGAGTGCACCACCACGCCCAGCTAATATTTTTGTATTTTTAGTAGAGATGGGGTTTCACCATGTTCGTCAGGCTGGTGGTCTCCAACTCCAGATCTCAATGATCCGCCCACCTCGGCCTCCTGAAGTGCTGGGATTACAGGTGTGAGCCACACCGTGCCTGGTGCAACAATCACCTTTGACACTTCATATTATAGCAGAGAATGTCTTTCCTCTTGATTATTCAAGAAAAAATATATAAATGTATACATTCATTTCTATACAATTATGAGCTAAACAATACTGAATATATCTTATTAGATTTAAATAAAATTTAAGTAACAATTTTATTTCATCATTTCTAATAGTACGAGTTAAATAGATACTATGAGTAGAATTTGTTGTATGGATAAATGGAAGTAAGCATGGATATGTTTGTATATAATAAAATACAGTCAGCATGAATTTTATCCAATTTTTAAATAAACATAGAGTTATAAATTAAAATTAACCAGCCATACCAACCCATTTGAATCTATAGTTTCCTACAAGGGAATGAAAGGCAAAGTAATAGCGAGCCTCCAAATGTTTTAGTCACGCAGTGTAGAGCACCCACAAATCATCTCACCCCTCTGTCGGGGGGCGCTGTGGGGCGCCCCGGCTTCACTAGTAGTGCTTCTCTGAACTCATGCCTGCACCTTTTCTGCTGGAAGCCTGAACAATGATGCAGAGATACTGTTTTCTTTGTTGTAGAAAACAGCAGAAGGTCTGTGCTCACGAGGGCAATATTAGGTCCTCATCAGCTGTGGCTTGCTATCTCCAGCACATCAATGAATGGAGAAAATAAGATTTAAACAAAGATCAGTGTCTCCATTCTCTAACATTTTACTCAAAATATTGGTTAGGTTAGACTCCACACCCACCAAAACCCAAAAGACATTCCGTCTCACAGATGCTCTACATTCTTTCAATACAGAAACCTTACGACCAAGCCTACAATATACACTTGTTTTGGTAAAATAATTGGTCCAGTTAGTAAAAAATGAGTTGAATTAGTGTTCTCCCTCTCACATATTATAACTTTTTTCAATTACAGAGATGTTTACAGAATTTATCTGAGGTGCTTTCTGTGTATCTCTGAAAACACCTTCGTAATAGTAGGCACACCCTGGCTAGTGGTTCTCGGCCCTGGCTGCTCACTGGCATCACCAGGAGAGCTCTGGACATACTGAGGCCTGAGCCCTTCCCCCAGACACTAATTTAATGGGACTGTGGTGGGGCCTGGGCATGGATGTTTTTAGAAGCATCTGCTGATAGATAAGCAATAAATACGAGTTTATTAACTACACATGGTGATTTGATTTCCTTGGATTCTTCCCTGATTTTCTGATCCATTGGCCCGTATATGAACAGGCTAACTTCTAGTGTGTGAAAAGACTGACAGGATATTAACCTGGCTAAGTGTCTTTGAAAATATAAACGGAGGGACCATGCCTGAAAAGAGTTATGAAAAAAAAAAAAAAAACAGAAAATATGCACCTGAGAGGGGCGCAAAGGAAGCAGGCGAATGTGGGGTCTTGGAGAAGTCACTCCTGATCTTGAGTTTCTATGAGTACACATTAAAGGAAGTCATTGCAGTTTTCTATGTACTGTGCATTTGGATATTTTCACAAACCGAAACAATAATTCGCTGTTTCGGGAAGGGGAACAGATAATGTGTTCTAACGTAGCATCTTTACTTTCTCTATTATTAGAAACATTTTAAAAATCTATCTTTCTTTGGCTTGGCATGGTGGCTCACAGCTGTAATCCAGCACTTTGGGAGGCTGAGACTGGCAGATTGCTTGAGGTCAGGAATTTGAGACCAGCCTAGCCAATATAGTGAAACCCTGTCTCTAGTAAAAGTACGAAAAACATTAGCCGGGCGTGGTGGCGCATGCCTGTAGTCCCAGCTGCTTGGGATGCTGAGTCAGGAGAATCGCTTGAACCCCGGAGGCAGAAGTTGCAATGAGCCAAGATCATGCCATTGCACTCCAGACTGAGAGATAGAGCGAGACCCCATATAAAAAGAAAAAGAAAAAAATTATCTTTTTTTGGAGTTTGTCAAATGTATTACCACTTTGATTATTATTAGTGAAATTTGGTGAGTTATATCAAATGATCAGTGATAGGAGATAATATCTACAAGATTTAATGATTGACTATAGGGAAGGAGAAGAGAAAGGAATAGATTTCTAAGTCAAATTCCATTGATAATGATGAGAATCATAGGGGGAGGAGTCAATGGGTAGGAGAAAAAATATTTGGTTTAGGACATGCTGAATGTGAGGAGCCTGTGATAAAGGATAGGATAATATGAAAAGCTTCCAAAAGGAGTACACCAGATTATGAGATCTACCTTTTCCCCAAACTAATAAAGGGAAAAAATATTAACTCCATTGTTAATTCTCCATTGATCCTGATGAAACATCAGTACTGCTGATGAGATGTAAAAATAAAAAGCAGCAAGACTAAAGTTCTCCAAGATTCCTCTAGGATATGTTTGGTGTCTGCATTTGCATTTACTGTTATTTAATCTACGTTATTCAAGATGCTTTCTATTTGGAACCCCAAAACAAATGGTTGAATGGGCTTGCTCTGACTATCTATTTCCACAGAACAACCACCCAAAATTTAGTGGCTTAAAAAATGAAAAAATGGGCCGGGCGCGGTGGCTCACGCCTGTAATCCCAGCACTTTGGGAGGCCGAGGCGGGCGGATCACGAGGTCAGGAGATCGAGACCATCCCGGCTAAAACGGTGAAACCCCGTCTCTACTAAAAATACAAAAAATTAGCCGGGCGTAGTGGCGGGCGCCTGTAGTCCCAGCTACTCGGGAGGCTGAGGCAGGAGAATGGCGTGAACCCGGGAGGCGGAGCTTGCAGTGAGCCGAGATCCCGCCACTGCACTCCAGCCTGGGCGACAGAGCGAGACTCCGTCTCAAAAAAAAAAAAAAAAAAAAAAAAAAAAAAAAAAAATGAAAAAATGACAGCATTTATTTTGTTTATGAATATGCAATAACTCCGCATGGTTTGGGGATGGCTCAAAGACCAGGGGCGAGGATCATCTGCAGGCTCATCCACTCACACATCTAGTGGTTGATACTAGCTGTTGGATTTCCATGTGGCTCTTCAGCTTCCTCTCAGCGTAGTAGATGGATCCAATGGTGAGTGTACCAGGAGAGCAGAAGGGAGCCAGGCATAGGTGTCTGGCCTTTCCTAACTGAGCTGAGGAAGTCACATGGTGTCATTTCTACCATATTACAGTCATTAGAAGTGAGCCAGTAAATCTGGCTCATATTCAAAGAGAGGGAAATTAGACTCTATTTTTAAATAAGTGTTAAAGAATTTAAGGGCATATTTTCAAACTGCCAGAGGGATCTCAGAAGGCTCTGCCACCTACAACCAACTATTTCTTTGCATTTTAATAGAATTTTTAAGAGAAATCATAGCTGAAGCTGAGGTTATATTTTGGAGTCGTCACAGTGAAAGAAATAAAGTACATGTAATTTGATATTTCAGAGCATTTTTCCCTTTGTCCAAGACATTTTAAATTTGAAATATGGTTTTGGCAGTTTTGTAAGAGATATTATGTAAATTGAAAGGAGAAGATGAGTTTTGGGGTCAATCTTAAAAATTCATTTTGGAGAAGCACAGCATTTGCACAGCATCCCTCTGATTTCATGCCATTTGTATAAAAGAGCTGTGCTTTCCCAGGAGTGGAAACTACATTATTGGAAAAATATAGGCTCTTTAGGGTAAATGATAGCACAAAGATAGTAAATGTCTTTTCATTTGAAATAACCTTTGTGGAAATGCTATTATTCTCAATATATTGTAAAAGAGATGAATCAGAACAGTGTTAGAAACTATTTAATGGATCATCTGTGACATATTATAAAGCTAACTGTTGAATTACCACTTGGCTAAAGGAGGCATCATGGCCAGAAAGGGTTCAGCTTTGGAATCCACAACCATGGTTTTGAATCTTGGTTTGACTTTTCTTTGCCGAGAGATCTTGAAGTTTTGTTATGAGGATTAGAGCACAATTCCTGGTATCTGCTCTCTGGCTGACACTCAGAAACTGAGACTTCTCATTAAGATTGTGATGGTGAGATGATGATGAGAAATTGTTTGACTATCTCAGGAATAGTAGAAATTATTAAAATATTGAATTGTACCCATGAGACCATGTGGCCAGGCAAGAAGAATGAGATAGGCCCTTTCTTCAAAGTATATGATTTTTTTTATTATTGAAGAAATTATTCATAAACACTTGAAAACAAAGCATATTCAAAGTTTTAAACTGTACCTAAAAGATAGTGCCATAAGAGTTGTGAGCTTTTGCTAAAAACTTTGACCTTAAAATGGGCAACTCATGAACTATGAATTATTTTAAGGGTCTAATTTATTGCATTTTTTGATTCATATGAATTTCCCTTGACAATGTTAATTCAGTTATCAGGGCAAATGAAAAAATAAGCTCTGTAAATTAAAATACAGAAATATTTACATATTGTGGCTTGTCTCTGGAACTTTTATAATGGGATATTATATTTTAACATAATGTTGGCATAAAATATTATAATCAAGATATCAGCAATATAGTTACAAGTTGTTCTTTCAAAACACAGGGTCATAACTCACAGGTACCTAATTTCAAAATACTTGGCATAATTTACAATTTATAAATCTATAATCTCTTTAAGGCTAATTGTTCTAATGTATAATTAATGCACTAGTGCCATGACTAACTTTTAAGAATGCTGCATTTTCCACACCAGTTTATTGATAACCTAAAATATTGCAGTCATTCTTGTAAAAAGTTGTTAAAGATGTCTCTGTAAAATATAATGGCAAATGCTGGCTATTTTATGAATGGGAATTACAATAGTAAATAGTAAAACTGAAAATATTTTCCAAGAATAAATGTGCTTCATGTGGGTTTGATCAGCACATCTGATTGAAGATTTGAGGTGAGATACATTGTCCCCATTAAGTTTAAGGGTTTCAGCGCAAAATTAGCTGATCTACTCTTTGAAACGCAGAGCATTTGTGAAAATGCCAAACGCATCTCTGTTAGAATCTCATCCATGAGCAAATGAGTAATGTAAGTCAGATACAATGGTTAATTCTGTGGTTTGCCAAATCTGTACACTTTCCTGTTACTTTGTAGATTGTAAAATAATGATGCAGCGTTCACCCTAATGATCAATTGTTTTCCTTACTAAAATGTAAGCATTTAAAAGATCTGCCTAATTTTTTCTAAGTGTATGTTAGGCAGATCTATACTTCCAACTCCTAAAGCATTCTTCTAAAGCAGTTTATTAGAGCGCACACTAATGGCTTATCAATTAAGCAAACACGATCAGTATTGAGCACTTGCTCTGCTCCAGGGTGCCGGTGCTAGGTTCACGTGCATCAGGGAGACAGAGTCATTGTCCTCATGAAGCTTACAGGGGGGCAGATTGATTGAACCGACACCTCTGATTCCCTTTTAAGCCTGTAAGCAGCTGCTCCATAAAGCACGTGTTTCAAACACAACCACCTTCAGAGACGAGGTGATTCTGTTGAGTGGGTGAAGCAGGCCAGGCATGAGGCCGCAAGCAGTGGTTTAGACCAGTTCATTGGAGAATCCCTGCCTTATTAAAAGTATTTCCTTCCAAAAATGTGAAAGGAAGACTTGTCTTTTCCCCCAAATCATTTAGAAAGCTTGCTTTGTCACCTCTGCTTCTAAGGAGTCCTGGTTGGTCTCCAAAAGGAAGCTTTCTCTAAAGAACAGTGTAGTACAAAGTAAGATGGGACAAGACTAAGGGGGCCCACTCCTGAGCTGCTCAGCCACTTGCCCACCTCAGGTAAACACTGAGCCCGGTGGTCTTTCAGTCATTCCAGGTCTGATGTTCTACAGTTTTGTCAGGTTATCTGGGAGAAATTTTGATGCTGAAGACTCCCGAAAGTAGGAGAAGCATTTCAAACTGAGGCCTAAGATGTTTTCAAGTTGTGGCAGAGTTGCCTTGAAGAAGGTAACTCGGGCTTTGCCCTTTGCCCTTTTGCCCTTTGCCCTTTGCCCTCACCTGCAGCCAGCACATCCATACCTCACCTCTAATACAGCAACCCCTGTTTGACATGTTGTATATATTAAGCTTTTACTTAAGATGTCATTTAATGAAAAAGATTTTGCTGCTTAAAAAGCAGTGGAGAATAATAGCTAGCCTCTTGAGTACACAGTCCTGTAAGATTTGAGCACATGATTTTTAGAAAAAGAATAGAAAATAAGAGAAAATTATAACCTCACTTTACCTGTCGGGATATTGACATCCCTGTCAGATTTCACAAAGCCACATGTGCATCTGGTGAAATCCCAGATCCACCCTTTCTAACTGTATGCTCTTAGGTAGCCAATTAATCTTTCTAGGACTCAGTTTTCCATTCATTAAATGGGAAACTTAACACATAGGGCTTTTGAGAGGGTTACATGAGTCAATACAAGCAGAGAACTTAGTACTTCCTCTGTCACGTAGTAAGCACTCCTTGTTATCCTTGGATTTTGTGGTACTTTGGAGGAGAATGGCACTCGGATCTCTGTTGGTATAATTTTTACCAAAGTAAAATCTGGTTGAAATAGCATTCAGATTTAGGCT
This sequence comes from Homo sapiens, assembly GCF_000001405.40. Lineage (NCBI taxonomy): Eukaryota > Metazoa > Chordata > Mammalia > Primates > Hominidae > Homo > Homo sapiens. Next base: position 60,777,490 of record NC_000009.12, read on the forward strand.
TAAGGAGAGGATATTTCTTAGAAAGGAAGGCTAAGCTTAATGGGGGAAAAGAGTTATCAGTGAGGCCTTGGGGCAGGGGACTGACTCCACTGGGCATTACTTGTGCAAAAGGGATAAAATGTAGAGAGAGTTTTTTTTTTCTGGTATATTATTTTATTCCATTAAAGTCAGTGTTCTACTTTTATTTTGTAAAATCATATTTCTGAGTCCTGAACAAAAGACTTTCAAGATAGATTTTACTGACAGAGAAATGGAGTGCCACATTCCATAGCTTTGCATATAGAGCTTCACATGCAAAGCTCTTTGCATCTCAAGGGCTAAAACAGGCTGACTTACAGCAAGTAGCTTTCCTGTAAACTGTAAAGTAGAAGAGAACGGAGACAGCTATGAAGGTGGGAAAAATGCCTCCTGCAGAAGAAGAGCAGACATAGGGGAGCATAAATAGTATACCCTGCCTGGACCCTGAGAAGGACCCAGACCCGCATGGTGCATATTGAGAGAGACATGGCTGTGGATGCTCATTACTTGGGATTCTCAGTGATGCCTCAATCCACAATTTTGTATTAATAAAAAAGTCTTTAAAATATTTGCATCTAGGAATCAAAGTGTCATTCAATGACTTATTGGTCCTCAAATGACAGCTTGGGGTTATACCTTATTTTCTATATCATGGAGTAACTCCTGCACTATATTCATTCTAGGAGAATTAACTATGTCAATTCTTATGTTCATCTCTTCCTTGGCTGATTATTTGTTAGGGAAAAAGCTTTTGCTTGTTTATTAACTTGTCTCCTTCCTACTCTTCTGATTATTATTTTGTAATTAAAACAGGATTTTAAAATTCATAGACACTAAAATATTCTAGACTTTTAGCACTGGTTTCTAATATTTTGGGAGGAGAAGCTTCATTTTTTCTTGAAAATGAAGGTGTAAAGATACTAAATTCCTTGAGTGGAACATCTGGGCTTCATAGAAACTTTGGAGCTATATGATAGTTAGAGAGAATGTAGACAGGGTTCCTCATTGTATAGATAATGAAACAGGACCAGAGAGGCTGAGTGACTTGTAGAAGGTCCCCCAGTGAGTAGCAGATCCTGGATGCATGCAGCATTGCTAACTCTGAGAGCTAAGTCCTCATCATGTCCCCACCTTCACCACACCACACAGTTCAGGAGAAGGGGCACATCTCTAGAATATGGCTGGAAAATACACTAGGGAAAACTTTAGATCCACTAGCAGAGCCCAGTGCTCCTCTTGGAGAAAGTGACCAGAAAGAATAAGGCACAGTTAGCTGTTGAAGAAAAGCTGATTTCTCAGCCAGATTATATACATTAGCATCCATGTTAGTTACCTTTGCTGAATAATTCTCTCCTCAACTCAGCTCTCTGAAGAAACCTCCAGGAATTAGCAGGGCTTTGAGTAGAGATGGCATATGTTTGGGCCCTGATGAAAATGATAAAATTGTGGCCTGGTTGCAGCTTGTGTGCTGAAGGAAGAGCATGATGCAGTTCATTGGTATGAAAAATGAATGCAACTAAAACCTAAACATTAAAACTTGGCCTTTATTACCAAAGTGAAAGTGCTTCTAATTGAGGCTCCCTGGGTTTTAATTGTTCTTCAGGAAAATTAGATGTTGTCAAAGTAGAAGGTTAATGTCTGTTCACAGTCTGGAGTTTTTGGAATAACTTCCTTCACAGCGTGTGTGTTTTAAACATAAAAAGGGCTTTTTGGTTTGTATATAGTTAGTGGGATTACGACTGCCTCACTAGATGCTTACAACAAATATTTAAGAAATCCATAAGTCTACTATTTATAACAGAATAAACATTTAAATGTAAGATATTTTGACCATTTTGGTAAAACATTTAAAAAATAAACTATCATGAACTGACAAAACCAACATCATTTAAAAAAATTCAACATGGCAAAAACTTTATGAGACTTATACCATCGACCAAATTTGTAACTTTAGCCTTGATACATTACTGCTTGTAAATAGAAATGTTCTTACTATGAAGTGATGTGCTCAGAT
>NC_000009.12:63842264-63918447 GCF_000001405.40 Homo sapiens
TGCTTATTTAATAACTTTCAAGATAGCTTCTCTTTATGTTTTAAAATACAGTCATAAATAAGCACTTATTTAAAAAAGCTAAATGCTTTCATTTATTCAATGGATGGCCTTGCTGATGAAATGATACTGCTTTTTATCTTCTAGTTACTTCATATCTCATTAGTGCTTCCTCTAATGGGCTAAAGAAAATGTGGAAACTTCAAACTGTTGAATGCACCCAAGTTAGTTTTGGTAATAGGTCTGAATAAAAAAGAAATTCAAATATGTTTGACTCAAATAGGTTTTCTTTTTTCTCTCCACTTACTATTTTAATTATTCATATTGTTTTGATTTCCAAAGATACTCTTCTGGAACTATACGGAATGTTTTCAAATGCTTATATTAGAAAGAGGGACTTGCCAATGGCTGGTAAATATTAAGGAATTTAAAAAAATGGAAGAGTCAAATGCAATGGTTCCATTCCTTTGGAAAATGTTTGAGACTAGTTAGAGTTTGGCCTAAGTGAATGAATGTCCTAAAATCTACACTTGTGGCAGGATCTTCCGTTCCAGACACAAACCTTCTTTGTGTGGAGCTCCCAGGGTAAAAAGACCATTGTCGAGTGCATGTATATAGGTTCCCTCATCCATTTCAATGGCTAGGGTTCCTGAAATTTCACCAAAGTTTGTTACTGTTCACCAGATTCCTAAAAAATAAAATTGATATTACAACTTTATATTTTAGTTTTGACACAGAGTTCTTTGTTATTATAACTTAGTTTTAAAAACTTTATTTTGCAGTCATAAGAAATACTAGGAAGATCTCACATATCCTTTACTCGCTTTGTCTCAGTGATAACATCTTGCATAAGTATCATACATTGTTAGAATCAGGAAACTGACATTGATATAATCCATGAAGCTTATTCAGATTTCACCAGTTTTACATGTACTTGTTTGCATATATATGCACAGATTCATGCGACTACCAGCACAGTCAGGATTAGGTTTTAAAATACACAATAGCAACATACAGCCAGGCATGAGGGTGCATGCCTGTAATCCCAACTACTCGGGGAGCTGTGAAAGAGGATCACTTGAGCCCAGGAGTTCAAGGTTATAGTGAGCTATGATCATGCCACAGCACTCTAGCCTGAGTGACAGAGCAAGGTCCTGTCTCAAAAAAAGACCAAAACAAACCAAAAGGCAACATGTGAAGGTACAAAGTGATATATGGAGAACAGTCTCTCTCATGATAGACCCCAGCCATCTATTCATGCCTGCTTTCCAGAGGCAATGCCTATCATAATGCTTCTTAAAAATGCCTCTACAGGAAGACTTTCTAGCATAGTAATTTTTTTTTTTTTGAGATGGAGTCTCGCTCAGTCACCCAGGCTGAAATGCAGTGATGCGATCTTGGCTCACTGCAAACTCCACCTCCTGGGTTCAAACAATTCTCTGCCTCAGCTTCCCGAGTAGCTGGGGTTACAAGAGCCTGCCACCATGCCCAAATAATTTTTTTTGTATTTTTAGTAGAGACGGGGTTTCACCACATTGGCCAGGCTGGTCTTGAACTCCTGACCTCGTGATCCACCCGCCTCTGCCTCCCAAAGTGCTGGGATTACAGGTGTGAGCCACCGCGCCCAGCCAGTAATCTTAACTACGATTTTAGATTGAAAGCAAAATGAGCAGAATCTATGTCTATGTATACTAATGTCCAATTTGCCAATATAAATGTTAGACTCTAGCAATAATTATTTTAGCAGTTGTTATAAAAGTTTATATCTTAATGTTAAAAAACATCCTCAAACCTCCTCCTAAATTGTACTTTAACTAGAGTAGAAATGAGTCAATCATTAACTGGATATGACATATTAAGGAATTCTTGTTAATTTTACAAGGTCTGATAATGACATAGTATAATGTATAAAAGTAAAGAACAAAACAGGAGATGAGAGAAAGACATACCACGTTAAGAAATGTATATTTATTTTTTTCAAAGTTTTCAACTTCTTTGCCTTTGGTTTGAATGTCCTCCCGTAGCTCAGAGTAATTTGATCATCTGAAGCCTTCTTCTCTCAGCTCTTCAAAGTCATTCTCCGTCCAGCTTTGTTCCGTTGCTGGTGAGCAGCTGCGTTCCTTTGGAGGAGGAGAGGTGCTCTGATTTTTAGAGTTTCCAGTTTTTCTGTTCTGTTTTTTCCCCATCTTTGCGGTTTTATCTACTTTTGGTCTTTGATGATGGTGATGTACAGATGGGTTTTTGGTGTGGATGTCTTTTCTGTTTGTTAGTTTTCCTTCTAACAGACAGGACCCTCAGCTGCAGGTCTGTTGGAGTATCCTGCAGTGTGAGGTGTCAGTGTGCCCCTGCTGGAGAGTGCCTCCCAGTTAGAATAACCAATATAGAGAAGTGCTTAAAGGAGCTGATGGAGCTGAAAACCAAGGCTCGAGAACTACGTGAAGAATGCAGAAGCCTCAGGAGCCGATGCAATCAACTGGAAGAAAGGCTATCAGCAATGGAAGATGAAATGAATGAAATGAAGTGAGAATGAAAGTTTAGAGAAAAAAGAATAAAAAGAAATGAGCAAAGCCTCCAAGAAATATGGGACTATGTGAAAAGACCAAATCTACGTCTGATTGGTGTACCTGAAAGTGATGGGGAGAATGGAACCAAGTTGGAAAACACTCTGCAGCATATTATCCAGAAGAATTTCCCCAATCTAGCAAGGCAGGCCAACATTCAGATTCAGGAAATACAGAGAACGCCACAAAGATACTCCTCGAGAAGACCAACTCCAAGACACATAATTGTCAGATTCACCAAAGTTGAAATGAAGGAAAAAATGTTAAGGGCAGCCAGAGAGAAAGGTCGGGTTACCCTCAAAGGGAAGCCCATCAGACTAACAGCGGATCTCTCAAGCAGAAACCTTACAAGCCAGAAGAGAGTGGGGGCCAATATTCAACATTCTTAAAGAAAGGAATTTTCAATCCAGAATTTCATATTCAGCCAAACTAAGCTTCATAAGTGAAGGAGAAATACAATACTTTACAGACAAGCAAATGCTGAGAGATTTTGTCACCACCAGGCCTGCCCTAAAAGAGCTTCTGAAGGAAGCGCTAAACATGGAAAGGAACAACCAGTACCAGCCACTGCAAAATCATGCCAAAATGTAAAGACCATCGAGACTAGGAAGAAACAGCATCAACTAATGAGCAAAATCACCAGCTAACATCATAATACAGGATCAAATTCACACATAACACTATTAACTTTAAATGTAAATGGACTAAATGCTCCAATTAAAAGACACAGACTGGTAAATTGGATAAAGAGTCAAGACCCATCAGTGTGCTGTATTCAGGAAACCCATCTCATGTGCAGACACACACATAGGTTCAAAATAAAAGGATGGAGGAAGATCTACCAAGCAAATGGAAAACAAAAAAAGGCAGGGGTTGCAATCCTAGTCTCTGATAAAACAGACTTTAAACCAACAAAGATCAAAAGAGACAAAGAAGGTCATTACATAATGGTAAAGGGATCAATTCAACAAGAAGAGCTCACTTCTTCTTGTGAGAGAAAGACGTGGTATGTCTTTCTCTCATCACCTGTTTTGTTCTTTACTTTTATACATTATCCTAAATATATATGCACCCAATACAGGAGCACCAAAATTCATAAAGCAAGTCCTGAGTGACCTACAAAGAGACTTAGGACTCCCACACATTAATAATGGGAGACTTTAACACCACACTGTCAATATTAGACAGATCAATGAGACAGAAAGTCAACAAGGATACCCAGGAATTGAACTCAGCTCTGCACCAAGTGGACCTAATAGACATCTACAGAACTCTCCACCCCAAATCAAGAGAATATACATTTTTTTCAGCACCACACCACACCTATTCCAAAATTGACCACATACTTGGAAGTAAAGCTCTCCTCAGCAAATGTAAAAGAACAGAAATTATAACAAACTATCTCTCAGACTACAGTGCAATCAAACTAGAACTCAGGATTAAGAATCTCACTCAAAACCACTCAACTACATGGAAACTGAACAACCTGCTCCTGAATGACTACTGGGTATATAACGAAATGAAGGCAGAAACAAAGATGTTCTTTGAAAACAATGAGAACAAAGACACAACATACCAGAATCTCTGGGACACATTCAAAGCAGTGTGTAGAGGGAAATTTATAGCACTAAATGCCCACAAGAGAAAGGAGGAAAGATCCAAAATTGACACCCTAACATCACAATTAAAAGAACTAGAAAAGCAAGAGCAAACACATTCAAAAGCTAGCAGAAGGCAAGAAATAACTAAAATCAGAGCAGAACTGAAGGAAATAGAGACACAAAAAACCCTTCAAAAAATTAATGAATCCAGGAGCTGGTTTTTTGAAAGGATCAACAAAATTGATAGACTGTTAGCAACACTAATAAAGAAAAAAAGAGAGAAGAATCAAATAGATGCAATAAAAATGATAAAGGGGATATCACCACAGATCCCACAGAAAAACAAACTACCATCAGCGAATACTATAAACACCTCTATGAAAACCAACTAGAAAATCTAGAAGAAATGGATAAATTCCTTGACACATACAGTCTCCCAAGACTAAACCAGGAAGAAGTAGAATCTCTGAATAGACCAATAACAGGAGCTGAAATTGTGGCAATAATCAATAGATTACCAACCAAAAAGAGTCCAGGAACAGATGGATTCACAGTGGAATTCTACCAGAGGTACAAGGAGGAACTGGTACCATTCCTTCTGAAACTATTCCAATCAATAGAAAAAGAGGGAATCCTCCCTAACTCATTTTATGAGGCCAGCATCTTCCTGATACCAAAGCCAGCAGAGACACAACCAAAAAAGAGAATTTTAGACCAATAGCCTTGATGAACATTGATGCAAAAATCCTCAATAAAATACTGGCAAACCGAATCCAGCAGCACATCAAAAAGCTTATCCACCATGATCAAGTGGGCTTCATCCCTGGGATGCAAGGCTGGTTCAATATATGCAAATCAATAAATGTAATCCAGCATATAAACAGAGCCAAAGACAAAAACCACATGATTATCTCAATAGATGCAGAAAAGGCCTTGGACAAAATTCAACAACACTTCATCCTAAAAACTCTCAATAAATTAGGTATTGATGGGACATATTTCAAAATAATAAGAGCTATCTATGACAAACCCACAGCCAATATCATACTGAATGGGCAAAAACTGAAAGCATTCCCTTTGAAAACTGGCACAAGACAGGGATGCCCTCTCTCACCACTCCTATGCAACATAGTGTTGGAAGTTCTGGCCAGGGCAATTAGTCAGGGGAAGGAAATAAAGGGTATTCAATTAGGAAAAGAGGAAGTCAAATTGTCCCTGTTTGCAGACGACATGATTGTATATCTAGAAAACCCCATTGTCTCAGCCCAAAATCTCCTTAAGCTGATAAGCAACTCCAGCAAAGTCTCAGGATACAAAATCAATGTACAAAAATCACAAGCATTCTTATACACCAACAACAGACAAACAGAGAGCCAAATCATGAGTGAACTCCCATTCACAATTGCTTCAAAGAGAATAAAATACCTAGGAATCCAACTTACAAGGGATGTGAAGGACCTCTTCAAGGAGAACTACAAACCGCTGCTCAAGGAAATAAAAGAGGATACAAGCAAATGGAAGAACATTCCATGCTCATGGGTAGGAAGAATCAATATCGTGAAAATGGCCATACTGTCCAAGGTAATTTACAGATTCAATGCCATCCCCATCAAGCTACCAATGCCTTTCTTCACAGAATTGGAAAAAACTACTTTAAAGTTCATATGGAACCAGAAGAGAGCCCGCATCACCAAGTCAATCCTAAGCCAAAAGAACAAAGCTGGAGGCATCACACTACCTGACTTCAAACTATACTACAAGGCTACAGTAACCAAAACAGCATGGTACTGGTACCGAAACAGAGATATAGATCAATGGAACAGAACAGAACCGTCAGAAATAACGCCACATATCTACAACTATCTGATCTTTGACAAACCTGAGAAAAACAAGCAATGGGGAAAGGATTCCCTATTTAATAAATGGTGCTGGGAAAACTGGCTAGCCATATATAGAAAGCTGAAACTGGATCCCTTCCTTACACCTTATACAAAAATCAATTCAAGATGGATTAAAGACTTAAACGTTAGACCTAACACCATAAAAACCCTAGAAGAAAACCTAGGCATTACCATTCAGGACATAGGCATGGGCAAGGACTTCCTGTCTAAAACACCAAAAGCAATGGCAACAAAAGCCAAAATTGACAAATGGGATCTAATTAAACTAAAGAGCTTCTGCACAGCAAAAGAAACTACCATCAGAGTGAACAAGCAACCTATAAAATGGGAGAAAATTTTTGCAACCTACTCATCTGACAAAGGGCTAATATCCAGAATCTACAAAGAACTCAAACAAATTTACAAGAAAAATCAAACAACCCCATCAAAAAGTGGGCGAATGACATGAACAGACACTTCTCAAAAGAAGACATTTATGCAGCCAAAAAACACATGAAAAAATGCCCACCATCACTGGCCATCAGAGAAATGCAAATCAAAACCACAATGAGATACCATCTCACACCAGTTAGAATGGAAATCATTAAAAAGTCAGAAAACAACAGGTGCTGGAGAGGATGCGGAGAAATAGGAACATTTTTACACTGTTGGTGGGACTGTAAACTAGTTCAACCATTGTGGAAGTCAGTGTGGCTATTCCTCAGGGATCTAGAACTAGAAATACCATTTGACCCAGCCATCCCATTACTGGGTATATACCCAAAGGACTATAAATCATGCTGCTATAAAGACACATGAACACGTATGTTTATTGCGGCATTATTCACAATAGCAAAGACTTGGAACCAACCCAAATGTCCAACAACGATAGACTGGATTAAGAAAATGTGGCACATATACACCATGGAATACTATGCAGCCATAAAAAATGATGAGTTCATGTCCTTTGTAGGGACATGGATGAAATTGGAAATCATCATTCTCAGTAAACTATCACAAGAACAAAAAACCAAACACCGCATATTCTCACTCAGAGTTGGGAATTGAACAATGAGAACACATGGACACAGGAAGGGGAACATCACACTCTGGGGACTGTTGTGGGGTCGGGGGAGGGGGGAGGGATAGCATTGGGAGATATACCTAATGCTAGATGACGAGTTAGTGGGTGCAGCACACCAGCATGTCACATGTATACATATGTAACTAACCTGCACAATGTGCACATGTACCCTAAAACTTAAAGTATAATAATAAAAAAAATAAAAAAAAAGCAATGTACATTTATGTACTTATGGATAAAATGATGTAATATCTGTGATTTTACTTAAAATTTTCTAGGAAAAAATGTTTGTGGGGGTGTGTATGTAAATGAAACAAAATTGGCAAAATATTGATAATTAATGCTGGGGCCTGGGCACATGGGGGACTCATTATATTCTTCTATGTATGAATTAATTTGGATATTTCCATAATAAAAAGTTTTTAAAGATTCAGTTAATTCCACTGCACAAAATTTTCTATTCAACTAAACATTTCATGCTTTTCATAATCAATTTTAAAATACATAAAATTTTAGCTAAAATGAAGTTGGACCCTTATCTAACACCAAATACAAAAAGTAACTTAAAATCGACCAAAGACCTAAATGTAAGAGCTAAAGTTACAAAACTTTTAGAAGAAAATGGGAAAAGCTTCACGACAATGAATTTGGCAATGATTTCTTATATAGAACATCAAAGGCACAGGCAACAAAAGAAAACACAGACAAACTGGACTTCATCAGAATTAAAAACTTTTGTGCATCAAGAACCACTGCCAACAGAATAAAAGGCAACCCAGAGAATGGAGAAAATATGTGTAAACTACATACATTATAAGGAATTAATATCCAGACTATATAGAGAACTCCAAAAAGACAAATGCCACAATTCAAAACTGGGCAAAGGATATATATGGACATTGCTCCAAAGATGATATACAAATGGCCAATAAGCACTCAAAAAGACGCTCAACATCACTAGTCACTTGGGAAATATAAATCAAAACCATAATGCAATACCACTTCACACCCATTAGAATGCTATTATCAAAACAAATAAAAAACAGAAACCAAGAAAACCAGAAAAACAAATGTTGGGCAGGATGTGGAGGAACTGAAACCCTGTGCAATGCTGGTGGGAAGGTAAAATGGTGCATGTATTTAAATGCCACTGAAGTGTACACGTAAAAATAGAAAAACTGGCAAATTCTATATTCTGTATATTTTACCTCCACACACACATGAAACCAATGGAGAAAAAGAAAATTAATCAAAATAGACAATTAAAAAGAAATAAAACTAATAAGCAATTTAGATGATTGAGTTATAGCTACAATTGTTTTCAGGAAAAGAAATAATGCTTTATTCAGAATCATTATCAACAATGTTATGTTTAGCAAGTCTTTCTTATAAATGTAATAGTTAATAATTTTAAATTAGTTTTATTTTGTATGTTCTATGCCACTTTCACCAAGTACACTTAAATAAAATCATTTAAATATAATATCTCATTAATGTTTTGCAAATGAAGAAGAAATTTCTGGCAGACAAGCTCCTCAAAATTTTCACACTCTGTCCAAGTAGGGAAATGATAAAATAACATTACTTATAATATTGTCAACAGAAAAAGAAATTACTTTGAGCAGATGCCAGTATTTCTTCTCAATGAGATTTCAAAGAATAAGAAAGCTAAACACAGTATTATCAAGAATTAAATGTGAGCATTCTGCCTACTTTCTGCAAGTGGCCTACATTCAACCTTTGGAGGTATGCTTATACGTTTAACGACTAAAGTAACATAACATAATACTTAACAGTGCCACTCAGGGGTTTTAGCTGTGAAAAAGCAGTGGATCCTAAGAACAGTGGGCACTGAAGTTGCCTGTCTCTATGTCAGGTTACAGCTCAAGCTGTGTATATGCTGCAGACGCCCAAGCTGAATTTAAGAGAATCCGCTCTAAAACATTACTTGCTATTTAGACACATGCTTAAAGTTATTTCCTTTTAAACCTTAGGCAGATTGTGAAATATTCCCGATGTATTGTCTCACAATGCATAACAAAGCTTTTCACATATTTTCAGATATTTGGGAATGTTTCCATATGTCTGGCATGCCTGTAATCCAGCACTTTGAGAGGTGGAAGCAGGAGAATCACTTAAGCCCAGGAGTTCAAAATCAGCCTAGGCAACAAAAGGAGACCCCCATCTCTACAAAAAAATTAAGAAATTAGCTGGGCATGGTGGTAGAAGACTGTGGTCCCAGCTACTCGGGAGTTCGAGGTGAGAGGATTGCTTGAGCCTAAGAGGTCGAGGGTGCACTGAGCCATGATCATGTCACTGCACTCCAGCCTGAGCAACAAAGCAACAGCCTGTCTCAAAGAAAAACAAAAAAAAAAAATCTGGCCCGATGCACCAGTGTCATGGCTGATAAGATACTACCAGGGCACCCTCATTCTAGCATCAAGGCTGTGTGACAGCTCACCTCACCTTCTGACTAACCCAGTGCTTCTGTGCTAAGGGCCCCCTTAAACCTCTACCTTCATTATGTGCTTGGCACAAAGGAATGATATATCTTAGATTTGGAAATGGAATTTTCTTCCCCAATCTTACTGTAGTCTAAGTACCCTTCACAGACCTTCTATTAACCCATAGCTTACTCAGCTTTAGTTCCTGGGTAAATCAAATCTGTGTTTTGCAAACTACGATGTTGTAAGTTCAATTGCTTCTGAATCTAGCAGAGCTCAGTGAAACTCTTTGCTTACAGGCATGCTCATTTTTATTAATGTCACACACGGTATTCTCCATGTGAAAGACAGAATTTCTTTCATCCTATTTACCAATCCCTTCAGATCCTTGTGAGGAACCAACAGAACAGCTTTAAAAAATTAAAAGTGTTTTTTCTTTCCCTTCACAAATAGGCACATGCTTACTTATATGGCAAGTTTAGAAAATCCACAATGCAAAAGAAGGTAGAGGGACAAGGAGAAAAAGACACAGAAGGACTTCCTCTTCCAGCCAAGATGGATTTGCCCTCCCACCATGACCAACGAGAAAACTGAAGCTGGATAGAATATTTGAGAAAACTGTTTTCGGGGATTGGAACACAGGCAGAAGAGGACTGTGATATTTGAAAACAGGAAAACACAGGAGGCAAATCTCACACACACTTCTGTTTTCTGCCCAATGGCAGTTTCTTGACCACACAGAGAGAGGTAGAGACCTCCAAAAATGAGGCAATGTCACTGTCACTAAGCTGAGAGTCTTGTAGTGCTAACATGTTTGGAGTTTATAGAATAAGGTACTGGAGAAGAGGGAACTACATAGAGGTGAGGCCTCAAAAGAGAATGCAAAAGTTCTCTGCAGGTCTGGGGACAAGGGCTGGGGGGAGTGCATACAGCAGGCAGGCTCCACAAGGCCTCTGCAGAGTGGCTGGCACTTCTGAGGGCTGACTGGAGATGCCAGAGAGCACACAAATTTGGGACATAGCAGAGTGGAGAGAACTCATCAAGTATACATAGAACATGTGGCTGAGGCCCATGAGGTTGAACCTTTCCTAGAATAAGAGTCACTGTCTAAGTCTACAGGCAAAAACCTAATAAATAATCACAAACTAACAAAGGCCCAGGCTTGACAGGAGCAAAAGTGTGGTCAAATAATATAACTAGGCATCAAGACATTTAACAGAAATAAAGGTTAAAATGTTATGAAAATGAAAGACTGAATTTATAAGGAAGACTTAACAATCCTAAATGTGTACACATGACAGCTTCAAAATACTTTAAGCAAAAACTGCTCAAGTAGACAGATCTAGAATTAGAGCTGGAGATTTTAACATAACTCTCAATACATTGTAGGATGAGTAAAAAATCAGTAAGGACACAGAAGATGTGCATAGTCACAAGCTCCACCAGTTGATCTAACTGATATCTAAAGAACACTGAACCGCTGGGCGCCATGGCTCACGCCCGTAATCCCAGCACTGTGGGAGGCCGAGGCGGGCGGATCGCCTGAGGTCAGGAGTTTGAGACCAGCTTGGCCAACGTGGTGAAACCCCGCCTCTATTAAAAATATAAAAAAAATTAGCCAGGCATGGTGGCAGGTGCCGGTAATTCCAGCTCCTCCAGAGGCTGAGGCAGGAGAATCACTTGAACCTGGGAGGCGGAGGCTGCAGTGAGCCGAGATCGTTCCACTGCACTCCAGCCTGCTGGGCAACAGAGTGCAACTTCATCTCCGAAAAAAAAAAAAAAAAAAAAAACCCTGAACCAACATCTACAGAACACACATTCTTTTCAAGTGTACATGGAAATTCACTAAGAATGTATGTTCTCCAACTATACTATAAATGAATTAGAAATCAGCAACAATAACATACCTATAATATCTCTATGTAGTAGAAATTAAAAAACAATACACTTTTAAATAACTCTAGTGTCCATGAAAAGAAAAATCACAAGGAAAACTAGATGATATTTTGAATGGAATGAAAATGAAAGCAAAATGTGTTGACTATAACTAAAACTAACGTGGAATGAAGAGATCTAACTCTCTTCTTAAGAAGCAATAAAACAAGAGCAAAGTAAACTGAAAATAAGTTAAAGGGAGGGAAAAAAAAGACTGAAAATAAATGAAATAAAAAATGAAAAAAAGAGAAAATAAGTAATACTGAAACAGGCTTGTCCAACCTGAGGGCTGCATGTGGCCCAGGCCAGGTTTGAATGCAGCCCAACACAAATTCGTAAACTTTCTTGAAACATTATGAGATTTTTTTTTCCTTTTTTTTTTTTGGCTCATCAGCTTATCGTTAATGCATTCTATGTGTGACCCAAGACAATTCTTCTCCTTCCATTGTGGCCCAGGGAAGCTAAAAGAGTGAATACCCCTGTACTAAAAGATCATTAATTATCTAAAATAAGTGATCTTATAAAGAATTGATAAACCTCCAGCTAGACTGACTGATCCAGGAAAAAATAGAAAAAACAAAAATTACCAATATGAAGAGACTGCAATACAGATTAGATTCTACAGACATTAAAAGGATATTAAAGGAATATTCTGAAAAATTTTATGCCAATAAATCCAACAACTTGGATGAAATGAAATTTTCCTAAAAGACACAAATTACCAAAACTGACAACAGAAAAATCTGAAAATATCTCCTAAAAAATCTTAATTCTCCCACAAAAAACTAAAACCAAACCAAACAAAACCCTCTAGGTTCAGATTACTTCACTGGTAAATCCTATCCAACATGTAAAGAAGAAATCATACCTATCTTACACAGCTATTTCCAAAAACAGGGAAGGAGACAGCACTTCCCTTCTAATTTTATGACACCCAATATCACCTTGACACCAAAATCAAATAAAGACATTACAAGAAAAGGATACAAAAATCCAATATCTCCATCAACACCAATATACAAATCTTAAAAAAAAAAAAAACCTAGAAATCAACTCTAGCAATATTCCAAAGGACAATGCACCACAACCAAGTGGGGTTTATCTCAGGGATGTAAAGTTAGTTTAAAAGTTGAAAATGAAACCAATGTAATTCATTGGCAGAATGAAGAAAGTTGTATAATCATCTCAACAGATACAGAAAGAGACATTTGACAGCATTAAACATCGTTATGATAAAAACTGCCAAGAAACAAAGCTTAAAAGGAATGTCCTCATTTTGATAAAGGTTTTCTCTGTAGATCGTACAGACATCATACCATATGGTGGACTACTGAAAGCTTTCTGCCTAAGCTTGGAAACAATGCAATTATGCCCATTCTCGTGACTTCTGTTCAACACTATGGAAGTCCTGGACAGTATAATAAACCAATAAAAAGCAAGACAAGACATAAAGATTAGAAAGAAAGAAGTAAAACAATAGTCACAGGAAACATAATTGCAAATTTCTTAGTTTTCTATATAAACAAACCACTAGAAGTAATAAGTGAAACAGACTTATCAGACTATAAAGTCACTATACAAAAATCAATTGTATATCTACATACTGACAGCAAACAACTGGAAAGTCAAATCCAAAAGTTCTACTGACAGTAATGTAAAATTATAAAATACTTAAGAATAAATTTTTAAACAGGCATGCAAGACTGCTACATTGAAAATTATGAAATATTGAGGCCCAATATTAAGATGTTGATTCTCCCCCAAATGATCTGGTCTCAATACAATTCTCCGAGAAAATCCAACAGGCTTCACTGTAGAAATTAATAAACTAATAGTAAGTACAAAGTTGGAGGACACACACTACCTGATCTCAAGACTTCATGAAATTATAGCAATCAAGAGAAATATACCAAAAGAAAAACAGACAATCGATAGAACAGAGTCCAGAAATAGACCAATACATGGAAAGTTAATTGACTTTTTATGAAGATAAGAAACTGGATTAATGGAAAAAGGAAACACCAGTGGTGCTGGCACAAATGACTATCAAGATGTTAAAAAAAAAAAAGTAAATCTTGAAACCAAACTCACACCATGCCAAAAATTAATTTGAGATTAATGACAGATTTAACGTAAAAACTAAAACTATGATTCCTCTAAAAGACAATGTAGAATATTTTCCTGACTTTGGGATAAGCAAAGATCTCTTAGATCAAAGAGATAAGGCAGTAACCATAAAAGAAAAAAAATAAACTAAGCTTTATAAAAATTAAAAGCTTCTGACCATCCTGGCTAACATGGTGAAACCCTGTCACTACTAAAAACAAAAAAAATTAGCTGGGCATGGTGGCAGATGCCTGTAGTCCCAGCTACTTGGGAGGCTAAGGCAGGAGAATGGCATGAACCTGGGAGGTGGACCTTGCAGTGAACCAAGATCGCGCCACTGCCCTCCAGCCTGGGTGACAGAGCGAGACTCCATCTCGGAAAAAAAAAAAAAAAAAAAAAAAAGCTGTCCATCCAAAAACCACCATTAAGAAACTGAAAAGGTAAAACTCAGACTGGGGGAAAAGACTGATAACACCATCAACTCTTGGCAGGGATGTAACTGGAGAACTAATTCATTCTTGGTGGGAGGATAAAATAGCACAACCACTTTAGAAAATTTTTGACAGTTTCTTATATAGTTAAACATTCACCTATCCTTTGACACAGCAATTCCACATCTACATATCTACCCTAGATATTTACCCTAATTTTAGAATTGTTGATTTGCCATTTCAAAAGCAATGATTCTTCCAGAACATTAGCTTTACACCATTCCATATTTTATATATTTTTTAAGCTACCATAATTTATGAAGATTCAAAATGCAACTTGCCAAGTTTTAAAAGAAAAAAAAGTATGGAAACAGCTAAACGGAAAACAGGCTGGTTAAGTGTGTTTGGGTCAGTTTATTTCTAGTATCATTTACAGGCTACCCTGATATTGTATTTAAAATTTTCATTCATTTCAGAGTTCACAAAATAATGATTTTTCCTGTGAAGATACTTCGTTTAAGAGACAACTGACTTCTACAACTAAAATGTACACATGTTCAAAGAAAATAGCTTGTAAAATATATTTGGTTGAATAACATTTACATTAAGCCTTTAAAATTATGTATCAGAATCTCCGGCTATTAAGCAGTCTAATGGAGCCTACTAAGTCAGAGAGTTGTAATTCTTCTTTCCTGTGCTCTGTTCTGATAATGAAGTAAAGGCATCAGTAGCATCTACTGTGCTAAAGAATAAATGGAATTTACAACTGTAGGTAATATTTAAGCACTTTAAGACAAATATGAATACATCATAAATTTCTAACTAGGAAAATATTTTCAATGAGATCTCAAGAAATGTTAACTTTTTTCAGAATAAAGCACTGAAAACTGACTCACCAACATATCAAGCTGGTTTCTTCATCTTCTTCTCTTTTTCTCTTCTTATCTTTGCTCTTTTTCTTCTTACTACAGGACATAATTTATATAGATGAGTTTAAGTATACTGATTTGTGTGATAAATAAGTATCATAAGATTGAAACTTGGAAGTCTTTTAAGTTGTTTCATTTATAAATTATTGATTTAGGAAGACTTACATTGCTATGCCCTCTTAAATACAGTACTGAGAATTTGCTTCAGGCTTTGTATATATTATGTTAAAGTTCAAAGCAGAGTGTAGAGCCACACCTCCAGATTTTAAATCCTGATTCTGTCACTTCTTAGCTCTGCAATTTTTGGAAAAGATACTGAATGTCTCTGTGAGTCAGTTTCCCCATTTAAAAAATTAGGATAACAACTTAACTCTTAAGGCTATTGTGAGGATTAAGAGGTAATATGTATCTTCACACATTGCTGGTGGAAATGTAAAATGGTGCAGCATCTACAGGAAACAGTTTGGGGTTCCTCAAAAAGTTAAAGAGTTACCATATGACCCAGGAATTTTACTCCTAAATATGTATACCCAAGGGAAATGAAAACATACACCCACAAAAATCTTACATAAGAATATTCACACTAGCATTACTCACAATAGTAAAAAAGGGGAAACAATCTAAATGTTCATCAACTGATGAATGGATGAACAAAATATTACATCCATACAATGGACTACTACGCAGCCATAAAAAGGAACAAGTGCTACAACAATGATGGACCTCAAGAATGTTGTAAGTGAAAGAAGCCAGATACAAAAGGCCACATGTTGCATGATTTCTTAGGAAATATTCAGAATAGGCAATTTCACATAGATAGCAGACTAGTGGTTGCCATGGACTAGGAGAGGGGGAAGATGGGATGTGACAGCTTTAATGGGTAGGAAGAGATTTCCTTCTGAGGTGGCGAAAATGCTGAGCAACTAGACAGTGGTGAACCTCTTGAATATATACTAAAAACCACTGACTGTACAAAAGGGTGAATTTTATAATTATGAATTACATCGCAATAAAAAAATAAAAACCCAAGAGGGATTTGAAAAAAGTTAATGTGCAAAGTGCCTACAACAATTTCTTGGCGCATTGAAAGTGCTATATAAGCATTAATTATGATTATTACGATAATCTTAAGACACTCTTGTCTGCATTTTCATCATAAAGTTTTCAGAAGATAACTCACCACTCCTCATAGGAAATTCACAGAGTAAAAATCTCACATTCATTCAGGATATACCTGCCATTTATTCTGGCATCTTCATGAGGCCAGACTCCTCGAGAGGGTTCTCAAGGGCAGTGGCTTCAGCTCACTCCTTGATACTTTCTTTCCATCTCGCCTAACAATATCAAAACTTCTGTTTATCACGGAGGCCAGGAGGAAATGCTCAATATTTGTATGTACAGTCAACCTCAGGCAAATCTGCCAGTTAAAAAAGAAGCAGGGATATGAATGCACAGTTATTTTTCTCCTAAAGAGCTAATAAATTACCACTACAACATCCTCCTCACATTTGGCTCAATTTATTTACTGCATGTATGTTCTCTCATTTAATCCTCACAGTCTTCTAAAGGTATAAAAAATGGTCTGAAAGTATAAATGTGTAAACGGAGGTTCAGATACTTGATCTCTTAATGAGTAAATGGAAGTTCAGACATATTAACCAATTTGCCACAAATTACAAAATTAGTAAATGACAGAGTGCAGGTTCCAGCCCATATCCCTATCAAAGTCCATATACACCTCAACCACTGTGTGATTCATCCTGGTTTCACTCTACATATTAGCTTAGAAAAAAATTAATCAATAATTTTTCCAGGAAGAGACAATGGAGAAAAGAATAATCCCTAATAAAGGAAGTTATTATAATGAACTACAAGATCAGACTAACGCACACCCACCAGGCAGAGGCCTGGAGAGATGCCTCAGGGGACCCAAACTCGTGGGTACGGGGCCACGGGTCACCCGCCTGTCTATCCTGTTTCCAGGGTCGTCCGCGCAGGAGGCTTCCCCTCTCTGCACAGGCGCCAGGAAGGGTGGTCCGGCCTCCGTCCAGCCCAGACAGGGTCAGAGCGAAGCCTGGGAGGCCACGAAGCCGGCTCTCCGCACCACGGCTCCCACCGGATTCGCGGGGGTGGAGTGCGTCCGAAAAGAACTGAGGAGGCTCCCGCCGGAGCTGCAGGACCCAGCTCTTCACCTCGGTTCCCTTGAGCACAAGCTTGGTAGACTTCACATAAGAGTACTAGGCCATGGCTCCGGGAGACTTCTGTGCAGAGGCTGAAGCCAGCTCAGGACGAGTATGTGACCTGGAGCAGCACCAGGGCGGGGAGGAACAGAAGTGTAGGCGAAGTAAACACTCCCTGACAGCGTAGGTCTGTCCAGAACCCACCTCCGTCTTCACCCAAATGCTGAATGGCTGAGATTTCCACTTCCGGGTTTCTCCCGGGGCGGGGGGGGGGCGGAGCTACGGCGGCTGCAGAGGGCCGAAAGGTGTCCGCACGCATCTGCTCCCTGGCACCCTCTCGAGGAGCCCCTGAGGATTCGTGCCTCCCAGAGGTGGGGAAAGCCCGCCCGAGGCTTCGGTGCTGACGGTGGCGGGGCTGCCGGGCACGCTGTGGAACCGCCTCCCGCTAGAGCTGTGGGCTGGTGACGGTCCCGCGGGGGCGGGAAGCGGCTCAGGCTGCCCTCCTGGCCTGCGGCAGTGCGTCTGGGAGCGCGGGCCACTCGTGCGCGGGTCACTCGGGGCTGTGCCTCGCGCGACTGTGTGTGCAGGAAACAAGCAGGAAATACCCTAAAATGGAATGAAGCGCCATGTTGAGGGCCGCGGACGTCGCGAGTGCTGTGGGAATGTGGGCCAAGGTGGAGAGTTATGGTGGCGCGTGTTACAGGGTCAGGAGTCAGGAAGAAGCCTAATCATGGAGCCGGCATCTGAGGAGGGTCTTGAACGCTGGGCAGGCTTTTGCCCAATAGAGATGGAGGAAGCTAGTCCTGTCTGATGGAGGAAACAGGGCAGAGGCGTGGAGGGAGACGCGCAGTGCTGGTGTGAGGAGCCGCGAGCAGGCCAGGCCTGTAAATCAGCGTGATGGGAACCAGGATAGAGAAGGCAAGTCGGGGTCCTGTGGTCGCTGAAGAATTTGAATGAAATCAGTAAACAGGTGAGAGGGATCCATCGCAAGATCATGGGATGAAACAAGCAGTAGTCCACGGTGATTCCTCTGCAGCGGTGGGTATTATTAATCGCGTATGTGACACCAAAACGGTGGGTATTATTGATAGCGTATGTGACACCAAAACCACCCAATTTAAGCTGTGACTCTTTCCCTAAAGTAGAAAACAGAGATCAGTTGGGTTCCAAGCATCCACGAAGATCTTATTAAATTCGTGATCCCTGGTGGCACCATGGAGTCAGGATTGGCTCATCTCAAACCTGACTCAGAAACAAAACCATCTCAATGGGCGGAGATGAGCATCCTTACCCGCTATCATAACGTATTTTCTGGTGTTTTCACAGTGCTGCGCTTCCTAATCACCATTCTAGGGCAATCCACATGCCATGATGCCCAGAGGCATTAACAAAGGAGACACACAGGGGCTCCTCACGTTGGCTTTCCATGGTTTTGATGAAAATCTGTTTCCTCATCTCATACAATGTGGTTCGTAATAGTATCATTTAGGGTTGAAGAATTAAATGGTACAAATTATATAGGGTGCTTATGATAACCTACATGGAAAATGCCTAGGATATGTTAGCTATGCTCATCACCAACATCGTTATATGATGGTAATAATCAGATAGTCAGGAAGGCCGACACCAAGAAAATGGATACATGCTCTGAGGGAATGAATGTGGAGAGATCAGAAGGTCAAGAACAAAGCCGTACAACATGTCTGCAGTAAAGGGATAGAGAAAAGAAAGGCTATAAAAGAAGGAATGAAACAGTTAGAGTAAAATTATAAAATCAAAGCTAAGGAGAATTTCCAGAAAGGGTAATATCATTTAATATCATAGAAGTTTAGGAACACAAGATGGAAAAAAGGCCTCTGGGTAACTGACATTGAGGCAGTCTTTAGGGAAGCTCCATTTCCGATAGAGAAGTAGACACAAAGTCAGCTTGAAGCAGGGACTAGGTGAAGAAGCTGTTGGCTGGTCGCATGGGGAAATAAATAAGGGATGGCATATGCCATATTTCTGGATTTCTTTCTTTCTTGCCCAGCCTCTATATATGCATAGAGTTTGGTGAAAACTTACAAAAAATAAAAATGAAACCAATTTTGTTTGTTGACTCAAATACAATGCTTTGTGTTAGAATCAAGATAAATTCATGCCTCTCCCTTCTATTGTCACCGTCAGTTTTGAAATTAAACATCAGCTTTTCTTCTTCATTAAAATCATTTTCAACTCCTCCCAGGTGTTGGTGGTTTGGGGGAGTTACATAAGCAGTCAGGTCTTGATGAGTAGAGGAGGAGGGAACAAACACTTTCAGCAAAGGCAGAATTCTGAAATTCTGCTCGTATTTTTCTCCAGTAACTTTCCTATGTTTGTGAGGTTATTCAGTCATAATGATCCTAGTGAAATTTTTTTCAAGCTTGACTAATCGTAATCACTGTGGACATTTGTTTAAAATGTGTATTCCCAGGCCTCTCTCCTGCTGATTCTGATTCAGGAGATCACGGATGGGACTCAGAATACATGTGTTTGACAAATACCACAAGTGGTTCTTATGGTCAGGGAAATTTGGGGCTCTAACCAGAAATTCATGTTTTTATGACTGGCAGCTGGAAAAGATTCCTAGAGTCTTTGCTTTTTGAAAATAAAATATTTCTTTTTTAAAAGCAAAATTGTATGACTAGATACAACATTTATACATGTGGCACATGTACTATACTGTGTGCTTTTGTCATATTTACAGTTGAAGATGTGTAAGAACACTCTGAGAAAAATTATCTATTAAATGCAAAGAGGGGTAAGTCAGGGTGGGGGAGAAATGGGAAGGGTGTGCTTATTGTTGCTAAAAGTTAGAAAAGCCAGAATGATAGCATCTAAGGTTGCAAATAGCACGTTGTAAGTTGAGGGAGCTTCATAATCATGTCTGAAACCTTCTTTGATATACTGAGTTGTAAACAGTGGCTTTGGACAAGATTTGAGGGAGAAACCAACTATGCTTTAAAGTGTTCATTTAAAAGGCTTTAATTAAAGGAAAGTCTTTATATTTACTTGAGCTAATTTAACTTCAGGACTTTAACAAATTACTAGCCCTTAACCTCTTAAAAATTGTCTTTCATTTCAAATGAAAGTTTAAGGTGGCTTTTATGTTCGATTGGTATACTTATGCGAAGACTTAACAGCAAGGTACTGTACATTTCTAAATGTTTACTTCTTAATTTTGCTGGAAGAAATATACTACTCAATTGATTATTTTTAAAGCAAAGTAAAACAATTTATTTTGACAAGCGACACTGTATTTTCCCAGTTTTCTGGTGGCAAAGATTAGGCTTAACATCACTAATCATCAGAGAAATGCAAATCAAAACCAAAAGGAGATACCATCCTACACCAGTCAGAATAGCTACTATTAAAAAATCAAAAAACAGCAGCTCTTGGGAGGCTGTGGAGAAAAGGGAACATTTACACATAATTGGTGCGAATGTAAATTAGTTCAACCACTGTAGAAAGCGGTTTGGAAATTTCTCAGAGAATTTAAAATAGAAATTCCTTTCAAGCCAACAACTCCATTACTGGTATATGACCCAAAGAAAGTCAGTTATTCTACCAAAAGGAGATATGCACTTGCATGTTCATCGCAACACTATTCACAATAGCAAAGACATGGAGTCAGCCTAGGTGCCCATCAACAGTGGATTGGATCAATAAAATGTGGTGCATCCACACAGTATTATTAGGCCATTCTTGCATTGCTATGAAGAAATACCTGAGACTGGGTAATTTGTAAGGAAAAGAGATTTAATTGGCTCATAGCTCTGCAGGCTGTACGGGAAGCATGGTGACGGCATCTGCCTGGCGCCTGTGGAGTCTCCAGGGAGCATTTACTCATGATGGAAGGCCAAGAGGGAGTAGGTACATCACATGGCCAGAGCAGGAGCAAGAGAGAATGGGAGTGGGGGTAAGTACCACACACCCTTACACAACCAGATCTTGAAAGAATTCACTATCACAAGGACGCATCAGGCCATGAGAGATCCACCCCCATGACCCAAACACCTCCTACCAGGCCCCACCTCCAACACTGAGGATTACATTTCACCATGAAATTTATAGGGGCCACCTTCCAAACCATTTCACACACCATGGAATACTATGCAGCCATAAAAATAACAAAATCATGTCCTTTGAAGCAACTTGGATGCAGCTGAAGGCCATTATCCTAAGCAAATTAATGCAGGAATACAAAATGAAATACCACAAGATCTCACCTATAAGTGGGAGCTAAACACTGGGTACTCATGGACATAAAGATGGAAAGAATAAACACCGGGACTACTAGAGGGGAGAAGGAGGAAGGCAAGGTTTGACAAACTATTAGGTACTATGCTCATGTATTAATCTGTTCTCACACTGCTATATAGAACTACCTGAGGCTGGGTAATTTATAAAGAAAAGAGGTTTAACTGACTCACAGTTCCACAGGCTGTACAGGAAGCATGGCTGGGAGGCTTCAGGAAACTTATAATCTTGGCAGAAGGTGAAGGGGGAAGCAAGGCACATTCTACCATGGTGGCAGGAGAGCAAGAGAGCCAGGGGGGATGTGCCATATGTTTAAACCATCAGATCTCATGAGAACTCACTTACCACCTAAGAACAGCAAGGGGGAAATCTGCCCTCATGAGCTAATCACCTCCCACCAAGTCATTCCCCCTACTTTGGGAATTACAATTCAACATGAGATTTTTATGGTGACACAGAGTCAAACCATACCAAATCAGCATCTGGATGATGGGATCATTCATACCCCAAAATTCAGCAATATGGGATATACCCATGTAACAAACTGGCACATGTACCCCTGAATGTAAAATACAAGTTAAAATTATTTTCAAAATAAATTAATTAATGAATAAATAAATATGATTAAATGAAATTAAAATTTTGAATTAAAAAATTTGAGAGTGATTTCAGCTTGACAGTTATGTAAGTTATGTAAATTGAAACAGTGAGTTCTGTAGGGTTTGGATCAATTGCATTATCTGTACTAAGTTGATGACCAGTTGTTTGGATGAAAAGAAAAGAGGTGAAACATATAGATCTAACAGGAAAAAAATGGACCAGTTTTTATGATAGCAAAAAGAAGAATGGAGGAAATAGGACTGAGGTTATAGTGATTGATAGATATTAATAGATGACTAAGTCAAAAGCCATTGGTTGCAGAAAATATTGATTAATTTTGTTTTATTCCAGTCAGACAAAAAAATCCTATAACCTGCCTCTAGAGAAAACCCTTTTAGCCCTATAATTATCTTTATTCCAAGCACCATTCCATTCATTAAGTAGTGTATAGGGTGATTAATAAGTCAATTATTCACAGAATTAAGACAAAATTTTTGAGTATTACAGGATATTAATAGTATAGCCAATGAACTAAAATAAAATTTGACTAGAGGTGTGATCACCATGAATGCCATGTTGGTCTCTTGTTAGATTTGGCAACCTAAAGTTGACAAATTTATTAATAAATAAACATTCCTTGATGATTAATTTACATTTAGTAGACATGCTCTTTCTTCTTCCTTCCCTTTCTTATTCATTCATTCATTCATTCATTCCTACAGAGCAGTGACTTTCATTTGAAGATTCCCAGAATCCTAAGGAATTCTTGAATGTCATCATAGGGAGCCAGGTGTGAGGATTCCTAAAAGTTGTACTTAATACTTGAAAAATCTCGAAAAGTTATATATTTACACCAGAAAAATCTATACAGGTTTTAAGTTATATGTATATAGTTGAATACTTTTTATTTCTATCCAGTACTAAGTCATTAGAGTTAATAATGTTGATTATTTCATACTGACCTAATGGGTAGCCTTTATATATCATTGATTACTTATTAGTAAAATAAACCCCCCCCCAAAATTACAAAATAAATATATTTTGTGGGTTTTTCTTAAGGCTTTTGAAACATAAAATCAGACGAGAGGATTAAAAGTAATCCTTGATTATTAGAAAAGCAAGGAACTACTAACTTAGAAAATTGTATGAAAACAGCAAGATATATACATGGCCTTCAGGCCAGCTGCCTGTTTTAATAAAGTTTTATTGGAGCACATCCATGGATCTATGGTGCTTTCCTGCTACAATGGTAGAGTTGAATGGTTGCTATAGAGAACGTATGGTTTGCAAAGCCTAAAATATTTTTCATCTGGTCCTTTATAGCAAAAGTGAACCCAGTTTTAGAACATTCACTTTACAAATTAAGATACAGTGGATGTTGCCTTAACTGACCTCCACTTAACTGATTTACAATCAGCACTTTCTTGTACCCCTGTACAACTTATTGACTGATGTCCACTGCAAATGGAAAGCCTTTGAGCTGCTTTTAATGCCTGTACATTTCTCCTTCCATCACAGAAATTGTACAGTTTCTAAGAGGAAGCTGTGTTCATTCCTAAATATGTTTACGCCATTTGTTCTTGTTCTTGTAGTTATGCAATTTAATTAAATATGATGTTGAGAGGCTGAGACGGGCGGATCACTAGGTCAGGAGATCGAGACCATCCTGGCTAACTCGGTGAAACCCCGTCTCTACTGAAAATACAAAAAAAATAGCTGTGCGTGGTGGCGGGTGCCTGTACTCCCAGCTACTGGGGAGGCTGAGGCAGGAGAATGGCAAGAACCCGGGAGGTGGAGCTTGCAGTGAGCAGACATCGCACTACTGCACTCCAGCCTGGGTGACAGAGCGAGACTCCGTCTCAAAATAAATAAATAAATAAATAAATATTACGTAAACTGAGAAAATGAGTATAACAAGAGTAGTATTGTTGTTTCTCTGATAAATAAACTAAATATGTTGGAAAAATGAGAAACTCAACAGTTGCTGTCAGCTTAACTGTTGGCAAGACAACTAGAAACAAATGGGAAAAATTGTGTAATCTAGGATTTCAGATTGCTTTACCCCAGTTGTCTTCACAGAAAGTGAACAAGAAATCAATGACAACATATCATTGGCATAGTTTCCACAAGAAACTCCACTCTGAATCCGTGCAAGGGTTTGACCTTGTCATCAAAATTCTGGCAAATTTATTTACACATGTCTTTTAAATTAAAGTTAAGTTTTAAGGACTTACATCTAATACTTCTTATGATTCCTCCAGCTAACTTAAATTTGTGATTAATCTGTTTATTACTGGTCCCAATCTGATTGAATAAGGGGGTTTCTACCGTTTTTGCTAACCAAAAGTTTACTTTGATGAAGATGGAATTATAAATACAATAATTCAAGTTTAAATAATTAGAATGGTAATGGGTAATACAATTTAGTATGCCTAAAAATCACTTGAAAAGCTTACTAACAATGTAAATTCTCGTGCCTTAGGCCTGAGATTTTGATTCAATAGGTCTAGCATGGGGCATAGGAATCTGTATTTTTAGGAATGATAAAGGAAAATTGCTTAAAATAGGGTAAATTATAACTTACAAATATAAAATGAACACTTGTCTAGGATTTTCGTTTAATGAAGGAGCCAGTAAGATGTTATACTGAGTTTTACGGAAAATTAAAAGAGCCACACATATCTAGGCACTAAGGAACACTGAAATAAATTTGCTTGATAGGTTCAAAACTGAATTCTTGATGGAAGGTGGGAAAAGGAAAATTAATTATACTTCCACCAAAATCAATCATTTGCCTGTCTATAAACATGAATATTTGCATTACTATCAGTAATCTACAACTAACAGAATTGCAAATAACAAAGAAAACAAAAGGCACAGAGACCCCATAGAAACAGATAACTCAGGTTATTCTAGACAAGGCTGAGATTTCCATTAAAGACACTCAGTGGTAATTTCGTTGGTCCATCTTAAAATCTTTCCATTTTCTCCTGAAACAAATTGCTCAAGCAATTCAAATACAATGAATGTGGTCAGTGGGTCACACCTGGAAAAATCATTTTCTAACCTGTAATCAAGACTGAATTACTCCCTTCACTGGAAAGAATAAAATATTACCACATAAATTCATATTATGATAATGGCCCACTATGAATGCTTTGGTGTTCTTAATTTTCTTAAGATTTATTAATATTTCTGAAGTAACTACTAAATGCCAAGCAATATATTTTCTAATTTAATCTTTCATTGACTTTTACTTTCACTTCAATTGAGCTACTCACTTTCATGGCTATAAACTTAACTTTTCAATCACTTAAAAATTGATTTCTAATGTTATAAACTTTAATGTCCCACTCTGTGACCTGCTCTTTCAGACTCTCTCTTCCTTACTGCCAATTCACCTTCTCTTCTATCTCTTCCAGTGCCTCAGTATCTTGACTCTTCCATTTTCTTTTTTCTTTGCTTTTATTAAGTGGATACATGATAATTTCACATGTTGATGGGGTACAATGTGGTATTTTGATACATGATGCATTGTTAAAACCTCTCCTCCCTATCTTTCCCAGTCTGGCAACCACTCTTCTACTCTTTATTAGATCAGTGTTTCTGGTAACCACTCTTCTACTCTTTATTAGATCAGTGTTTTTAGATTTCACATATAAATGAGATCATGTGATATTTGTCTTACCGTGGTTAGCTTATTTCACTTACCACAATGTCGTCTATGCTCATTCATGTTGTCACAAGTGACACGATTTTACCCTTTATTATGGCCAAATGTGCATATGATATAGTTTGGATATTTGTCCTGACCCATATCTCATGTTATATTGTAATCCCCACTGTTAGAGATGGGGCCTGGTAGGGGGTGTTTGGGTCATGGAGGTGGATCCCTCATGGCTTGGTGCTATCCTCATGATAGTGAACGAGTTCCCAAGCTTCCTGACTAGTCAAGCAGATGTTGGCATTATGCTCCCTGTACAGCCCATGGAGCCAGGAGCCAATTATGTCTCTCTTCTTATAAATTATCCAATCTCAGGTATTTCTTTATTTTTGCAATGCAAGAATGACCAAATACAGCATATATGCCACATTTTCTTTCTCCATTCATTCATTGATGGACACTTAGGTTGATTCTAGGCTATTGTGAATAGTGCTGTAATAAACATGAGAGTCCAGAAATCTCTTTGACATACTGATTTAATATTCTTTGAATATATACCCAGTAGTGGGATTGCTGGATTATGTGATAAGTCTATTTTTAATGTTTTTGGAAGTTATATTGTATTCCATAACAATTGCTCTAATTTACATTTCCACCAACAGTGTATGAACATTCCCCTTTCTTCACATCCTTGCCAGCATTTGTTATTTTTTGACTTTTTCATAAAAAGCATTCTAAGCAGGGTGAGATGATATCTCACTGTGGATTTGGCTTGCATTTCTCTGATTATTAGTGATGGTGAGCATTTTTTCATATACCTGTTGGTGATTTTTTTGTCTTATTTGGAGAAATGTCTATTCAGCTATCTTGACTGTTTTCTAATCCAATTATTTGTATTTTTGCTATTGAGTTGTTTGAGTTTTCTATAAATTTGGGGTATTAACCCCTTATGAAGTGAATAGTTTGCAGATATTTTCTCCCATTTTGTAGGTTGTCTCTTCACTCTCATGATTGTGTCCTATGCAGTGCAGAAGTTTTTATTTGGTGTTATCCCATTTGTTTACTTTTGCTTTTGTTGTGCATGTCTTTTGATGTCTTTTCTAAAAAGTCCTTGCCCAGACCAATGACATATAACATTTCACCTATGTTTTCTTCTACTAGTTTCATAGTTTGGGGGCCTTACATTTAAATATTTAATTTATTTTGAGTTGATTTTTTTATATGATGAGAGATAGGGGTCTACTTTCATTCTTTTGTATGTGGATATGCACTTTTCCCTGAACCATTTGTTGAAAAGACTGTCTTTTCCCAATTGAATGTTTGCACCTTTGTCTAAAATAAGTTGCATGTAAATATGTGCATTTATGCCTGAGCTCTCTATTTTTGTTCCACTGGTCTACATGTCTGTTTTTATGCCAATACCATGCTGTTTTAGTTAGGATAGCTTTGTAATATATTTTGAAATTAGATAGTGTAATACCTCTAGCATTGCTCTTTTTGCTTAAGATTTATTTGGCTATTTGGGGTGTTTTGTAGTTTCACATGGATTTTAAGATATTTTTTAATATCTGTGAAGAATGAAGTTGGAAATTTGATAGAGATTATATTGGATTTATAGATTGATTTGAGTAGTATGGTCATTTCAACAATATTAATTCTTCTAGTCCATGAACATGGGATATCTTTCTATTTATTTTAATTCTTTAAATTGTTTTTATCAATGTTTAATAATTTTCATCTTTCTGTGGCTTAATTTACTTATAGGTATTTTGGTTTTTTATAGCTATTTTAAATGGGATTATTTTCTTGATTCCTTTTTCAGATAGTCTGCTATTGTTGTAGAGATGTTACTGATTTTTTATGTAGCTTTTGTATCCTGAAACCTTATTATATTCACTTACTATTTCTGATTCTCAGTGGTGTACTTAGGGTTTTTTACATATGTGATCATGTCATCTGCAAAGAGGGACAATTTGACTTTTTTTTCCAATTTGGATGCCTTTTATTTCTTTCTCTTACATAATTGTTATGACTAGGACTTCCAGTACTATGTTGAAAAAAGTGATTAAAGTGAACATCCTTGTCTTGTTCCAGATCCTAGAGGCAAAGCTTTCAAGTTTTCACCATTCAGTATAATGTTGCCTGTGGGTTATCACATATGGTCTTTATTTTATTATGTTCTTTTATAACTAATTTGTTAAAAGGTTTGATCATAAAAGGATGTCTAATTTTGTCAAATGCTTTTTTCTGCATCTATTGAAATTATTATATGCTTTTTATCCTTCTTTGTTTAATGTGATGTATCACATTTTATTGATTTACATGTATTAGACTATCCTTACCTCCCCGGGTAAATACCACTTGATTATGGTGAATAATCTTTTTAATGTGCTTTTGAATTATCATTGCTAGAACTGCTGGTTTTGAATGTTTGCATCTATGTTTATCAATGATATTGGCCTGGAGTTTACAAAGAGTTCCCTCCTTTTCATTTTTTTGAAATAGTTTGTAAATAATTTGTATAAGTTTTTAAAATGTTTTGTAGAATTTGTCAGCAAAAACCACCAAGTCATGAATTTTTCTTTCTTCCTCTATTTTTTTAGAGACAGGGTCTCACTCTATCACTGAGGCTGGCATACAGTGGTGCAGTCATAGCTGACTGCAGCCTCAAACTCCTGGTCTTAAGTGATCCTCCTGCCTCAGCCTCCTGAGTAAAAGTACATACCACTATACCTGGGGAATTTTTATTTTTATTTTTAGAGATGCAGTCTCATTGTGTTGCCCAGGCTAATCTTGAACTCCTGGCCTCTAGTGATTCTCCTGCCTTGGGCTCCTAAACTGTGAGATTACAGATGTGAGCTACTGTGTAAAGTCTTTTGGATTTTTCTTGACTGAGAGCCTAAATCACTCCTTCAATCTAATAATTTTCATTGGTGTGTTCACATTTTCTACTTCTTCTTTCTTCAATTTTGATGGGTTATATGTGTCCAGAGCATACGTATTTCTTCTA
Organism: Homo sapiens; assembly: GCF_000001405.40. Taxonomy (NCBI): domain Eukaryota; kingdom Metazoa; phylum Chordata; class Mammalia; order Primates; family Hominidae; genus Homo; species Homo sapiens. The sequence goes on from NC_000009.12 coordinate 63,870,965, forward strand.
AGTTTTTCAATTTATTGACATATAATTGTTTGTAGTACTTACGATTCCTTATATTTCTCTAGAGTCTATCATAGTATATCCTTTTTCATCTCTGATTTTATGTGAATTTTCTCTTTTTTTCTTAGTCTGACAAAACATTTGTCAATTTTACCTTTTCAAAGAAGATTCCTTCATTTAATGACTCATTTGTATTTTTTTGTCTTCATTTTGTATATTTGTGCTCTGATCTTTATATTCTTTTGCTAATTTGGGTCTTAGTTTGTTCTTGATTTTATAGTTCCTTGAAATACATTGTTAGATGCTTTATTCATTATCTTTCTTCTTTATTGATGTCAAAATGTATTGCTATAAACTTCCCTCTAAGAACTGTTTTGCTGTATTTCATAAGTTTTCATATGTTCTGATTTCATTTTTATTTGTCTTAAGATGTTTTAAAATTAAATTTTTTTCATTGACCCTTTGGTTGTTTAGGGATATGTTGTTTAATTTGTATGTATTTGAACAATTTCTGAAGTTCCTTCTGTTGTTTATGTCTAGCTTTATTCCATATGGTCAAAAAAAACAAGTGATATGATTTGATTTTTTGATTAGCTAAGACTTGTTTTGTGCTCTAACATATCTATCATGGACAATATTCCATATGCAGGTGAAAAGACAGTGAATTATGCAATTGTTGGATGAAATGTTATGTAAATAACTGTTAAATTCTTTTGATCTAGAGTGCAGTTTAAATGTTTCTTTGTTGACATTCTCTCTCAATGATCTGTTCATTGCTGAAAATGGGATGTCGAGGTTTCTCACTATTATTGTACAGTTTTTGGTCTCTCCTTTTAGATCTATTAATGTTTGCTTTATATATTTAGGTTCTCCAATGTTGAGGGCATTATATATTTACAATTATTGTATTCTCTTGTTGTACTTACCCCTTTATTATTACATAATGGCCTTGTTTGTCTGTGTTTACAGTTTTTTTTACTTGAAGTCTATTTTATTTGATATAAATATAACTACTTCTGCATTCTTTTGATTTCCATTGTCATAAAATATATTTTTCCATCTGATCACTTTCAATTTATGTGTGTATTTACAGGTGATGGGAGTCTCTTGTAGAAAGAATATAGTTAGGTCTTGTTTTTAATCCATTTACCCATTCTCTGTCTTCTTACTGGATAATTTAATCTATGTACATTCAAGGTAATTATTGATAGATAAGGACTTGTACTGCCATATACTGTTTTCTTCTTGTCTTTTAGAATTTTTGTACCTTTTTGTCCCTTTGTTGTCTTCCTTTGTAGTTAAGTGATTTTCTCTGTGTGTTTTTGTTTCTTGTTCTTTTATTTTTAGTGTATCTAATAAAAATGTTTGCCTTTTGGTTACTATGAGGCATGCGAAGAATATTTTATAGTTTCAATAGGTAATTTTGAATGGATAACAACTTAATTTTGATAATAAGAAATGGGGAAAAGCAATCACTCTGCTCTTTAACTCAATCACTCCCCCACATTTTGCATTTTTGATGTCTTAATTTACATCTTTTATATCACTTATCTCTTAACAAATTATTGTAGTTGTTATTATTTTTGTTTTGTATTTTAACCTTCTTACTAAAAACATGTAAGTGGTTTACATTCAATTATTACTATATTAGAGCATCCTGAATTTGTCTGAATATTTATTTTTACCTGCAAATTTATACCTTCCAATTTTTTGTATTACAAATTAGTGCCCTCTTCTTTCAGTTTGAAGACTGTTCTTTAACATTTCTTTGGTATGATTTGGTATAATTTTTTCCCATTATTTTAAATTCTTTGTTGAATTTCTCATAAATTTCCATATTGTTTCTCTGTACTTTGTTGAAGTGCACAGATTTTTTTAAAAAAAAAACAGCTATTTGAATTTTTTTGTCTGCCACATCATTCATTTGCATGTCTTTAGGTTCAGTTGCTGACACCTTGTTTTCTCCATTTGGTGAGGCAGTTTTTCCTAGGCTATTCTTATTTTTTGTAGATGTACATCTCTTTCTACACATTGATGAATTAAATATTTATTTCAGTCTTCTCAGTCTGGGTTTGTTTTTGACTGTTTCTCAGTGGGCTTGTTTAGAAATTCTGTGTGGATTTCCATTATATTCCATTTTAGCATTAGGAGGTGCCCAAAGCAAAGGTTAGACATAAGTCTTGCAATAGGGCTTCACCACTGATACAATGTAAATGGACGGGCCCATGGGTGATCCACAGAAAGGCTGCTGTCTGTTGGGGGAGAACAAGTCAGGCCATCAAATCTGGACAGTCTGTGTATCATGTTTCCCACAACGTGGTGCCCATAAACAACCTGTCTGGTATAATGTTTCCTCTGGTAGGAATGGCTAGCCACTGCTAAGTTTCATATAGTAAGTATCGCTAACCCAATCCCTTCTCTATGTCCCTAGCATGCCTCTGGTGGTTCAGCTCTGTTGACACTCATGGTGCTGCTTGTGGGCTGATGCAGGAGTGAGTCTACTGTGAAGGCACTCAGTATGGTGGAAAAAAATATTCAACTTCTGCTCACTTTATTCAGTGTAAGAACTGTGAGTTCAGTAGGACTTTGTGCATATAATACCTTTATGTCCAGGGGGAGAAGTATCACAGTCACAGAGTACTGTTTCCCTTACTGTCCAAGCATGGTTTTACTCCTCTTTGCAGTCCAAAGGGGCTTCATAGACTCACTCATGTATTCAGGGTTCGTTAGCTCTTGTAAAGGTAATTTCATATGTGGATAGTTTTTCATATAGATGTGTCCATAGGGGTATGATTACTGGAGAGATCGACTCCACTACCTTGCTCTGCCCAAATCCTTCCCCTTTCCAACAAGAGTTTGCCACCTCCTAGTTTTCTTTTTTCTTAACCAAACTAAGTTTAGCCTTTTAATCCTTCACCCTCCTCCACTTCTAATACCATTGCTTCTTTGTATGCTTATTGTATTTTCCATGCTATATGACTTTCAGCTGGTTATTTACAGTATGTAAGTTTTAATATCCTGTAAAAGGGGGATAATAATAGCATCCGTTTGATAAAGATGTTAAAGATACTAAATGACACTCTCCATGTTAAATAACTTTTTGAGATATATTGAGATGTTTCTGCACTTCCTTGTTCTGGCCTTCCTGTTGAACCAGAGGAATCTATTGCCATGAAAAGCAATAAAACTGTGATAGTAGAAATTAAAAGTGAGTAGGAACTTATTTAAAAATCATCATTCTCCTTTTCAATGCAAAAATAAGAAATAGAAACTTTTAATAAGGCAATAGTCTGGAGAAATAATTTATGGAAGATAACATGGGTTTTTTAATCTTAAAGGGTTCTTTTACATATTCAAGGGTCGAGATTGGCTGCCTTGAATCCTACTAAAATTTCAATGTAAGTTTTAGAGAGGGAGGAAAGAGTCAAAGAAAAAATTGCACTGGAAAAATTTAAATAAGTAAGGAAGATATTATTCAAGCTATTGCAATACAGGAGAGAGGCCAGACCTAGTCTGAACTCAGCTCCCCTGATACAAAGGGCCGTGGAGTTTTTGAAAGTGAGGGTAAGGGGGCGATCATAGGCCACCTGTCTTTGCTAACTGTCTTTTCTCAAAGGAAAAATAAACTTTCTTTTATCTTTATGATATAAGATAATTTTTACAACTTGGAGCAAGATTAGGCTCTTACTCTCTCATGGAGACTGGGAAATAAGGTATTATCTTTCTGGAGGATTACATTTGAAAGGGATGGCTCCCAGATCCTTGAAAAAGGAAATTTTCTGCTTACAAGTTACACATGCCACTTCTACCTGCATTTCAGTGGCCTAACAGGTCACATATCTAAATCTGACCCTTCCTTCAATAGGACAGAAATGTATAATCTTCTAGGAGATAGGGTCACTGCAGTAGGAAGACCAGATAATGGGAGAATGATAATATAATCTACCACAATGACCACAGTGAAAACATTAGTAATCCTCAGGGTTAAACCAAGACTTCTTGGACACTTAGGTTGATTCTAGGCTATTCTCAATAGTGAAATAGTAAAAAATAAAGAGAATAGCCCATTTATTTTTTGCAGAGAAGCTAGACAATTCACAGTAACTTATGGCCTAGACAATTTTGTTTCTTGATCAACACAACCCTTTATAGATGCCTGTGGTCCAAAAATGCGGATTCCTAATCGTCGCCAAAATGAAGGGATCCTCTGCAAGGCAACCTGGGAGGGAGTTTAGGATTGTTCTGAGGCAGTGAAAGTCATTGAGATTCACATGTAAGAGGGTAGAGAAAGGGAATCAACATGTTTTGATCCCTCCATGTGCTGGATATAACTTGGTCTTCATTATATTGCACCATCTTTGGTGTCAGAGAGAACTGGATTTGAATCTCAATTCCATCACTCATTATGATTTGATGGTGAATGTGTTTTTAACTCATCTGAGCCTCAGTTTGCTCATCTATAAAAGATGGGATTGTTATGAGACTTGCATAAGGTAAGTGTTTAAAAATCTGGGAATAATCCCTGTAATTTAAAAGACGGGGTTGTGATGAGGCTTCAATAAGGTAAGTGTGTAATATCTGGACACAATGTTACTAATTTTGTAGGTTTTCAATATATAGAGAAGGAGGATTATTTTTCTCTCATTTAATTTTTAGAACAAGTTTATAAAATTGGTATTATTCATATTTTTGAGATAATCAAAGGATCACTAAGTTTAAATAAATCACCATAGTAACAAAGCAGTTCACAATATATTGACTGGATAATTGCTAGTGAAAAGTAGCAATGATGATCACATTGAAAATCTTGTGTTAGGTGGTGGTTTTCTCTTGCATAAGCCTCTTCATTTGTTGAAACCATAGTTTCTAAGTTTGCTCTATCAAAGTGATCATTAGAAAAATATAATGTACTTAGTGTATAAATTTTAGAAAATTTCCTTTTTAGTCCTGTTATTTTGATTGAATATGTGCATTTTGAATTATGAATATAAATATGAATATATATGGCATATGAAATATGACTTGACATCACAGAGTAACCTTAGATCGTGGCAATGTTTTTTTCTGAAAGCACCTGCAGAAATGTATCTTCTTTCTAGTTTCCAAAAAACTCAGAGGCCATGGGGGAAGAGGGGACTTTGGTGGTCAGATAGTGCATGAGGTACATTAGGATATAGTAATTGCATCATAATTCATATCCATAATTCACAGTGAGGAAACCTGAAATTTGCTACCAGCTACCAATAAATGAAAGGTGGGGCGGGGTCGCTGGGGGGCGCGGCTTTGTGAGCCAGTGCCTGGACTCCCACGTCACAAATGGAAGGGCAGCGCATGGAGGGAACTCAAGGCCTGATTGGTTCTTCCTAAGCAGGACACCATCAAGTTGGCACGGCAACCGGCCTTCAGTTGGTGGCCTTCAGTGGGTGCCTTAAGTTGGTGGCATTTGGTTGCCTTTCCTGGGGAGAGGTGGCAGGTGCTCAGCTCTGCAGACGTAGGGGCAAGCGAAGGCCCAAGCTGCCTCGAGAAGAGCAGAGATGCCCCATGGGGACCACGATGACTGGTCGCATGTGCACCAAAGCCAGCCCCCAGCAGGGCCGGCGCAGGGGTTCTGCGGGGCCGTCCTGTGGCTCTGATATCTATGAGTCGTCGGCCAGCAAAGGCACAGGCACCAGCAGAAAGGAGCAGAGACGCCCAGAACATGCTGTCCCCCAATGCCAGCCCCAAGCGGGGCCAGCTTAGGGTGCGGTGGGCAGAGCCATCCTGCAGCTCTGAGATCCACGAGGAGGAGGTGGGAGTAGCGCCAGGCTCCACTGCGTTGGAGCTCGCACAATTTGAGCCCAATTTGATTCCGGAGCCATGACTTGCAGCATATTGAAGACCAGAAGACGCCCAAAGGTAGGGAGGCGACAGATACCACTTGGCCTCAGGAGCTCCTCTGGCCGTTGCTGAACCAAGGTTCCCCCAGAGACATCCACAGCCTGGGGCTCCTCCCTTCTTCACCTAGTTCCTTTCCTAGGCCCAGGCCCCAAGCATGAGGACTGGCTCTGCCTGGCGTCTCCATCCCTTGGTCTTTCCCTGTTGCATCCAGCTGGTTTCTTTTCTCCTCCCTACCCATATGCCCAGTTATGGGCCCTCTTCTTCTTCCTAGAGGCTGGCCAAAAACTAAGTTTTCAAAGTACAAAATGGATGCTACAGATTTCGTTGCTTTAGAGGAAATGTCTGACAGCTCTTGTATTTAAACTTAAGTAGCTACACTGGGACTCACAGTTTCATATCTTGAGTTCTAGACCAGAGCTATCAACCCTAAAGCAACGGCAAGGGGTTAGAGGTACTCTTCTTGATTCGAATAATAAAAAATGATTTTTTTTTGTAGGGACAAGGTCTCACTGTGTTGCCCAAGCTGGTCTCAAACCCCTGGCCACACTGCTGGGATGACAGGCAAGAGCCACCACACCTGGTCATTGGAGGTGCTCTTGCTTTGTGTGTTTCGGCTGGTCTTCAGGGGCAGCTGTCTGTAAGATGCTTCTGCAGTATAGTTCTATGTCTTTCTGCACAGATTCAGTGGATCCTGTGTTTTTTTTACATGGAATAGCCCCTTTATTTTTTGCAGAGAAGCTAGATAATTCACAGTAACCTATGGCCTAGAAAATTTTATTTTTTGATCAACACAACTCTTTATAGATGCTTGTGGTCCAAAAATGCAGATTCCTAATCATCCCCACGAATAAGGGGGCCATTGCAAGGCAACCTGGGAGGGAGTTTAGGATTTCTCTGAGGCAGTGAAAGCTATTGAAATTCCCACATGAGGGGGCAGAAAAGGGAATCCACATATTTTGATCCCTCCATGTTCTGGCTGTAACTTGGTGCTCGTTAAATTGCACCATTTTTGGCATCAGAGAGAACCGGATTTGAATCCCAGTTCCATCCCTCATTATGATTTGATGGTGAATGTGTTTTTAACTCGTCTGAGCCTCAGTTTGCCGATCTATAAAAGATGTGATTCTTACGAGGCTTCCATAACGTACATGTGTAAATGCCATGGCAAAATGCTTGTAATTTAAAAGAGAGCGTTGTTAGGAGACTTCTATCTGGTAAGTATATAAAAACCTGGACACAATGCCAATAATTTTGTAAGTGTTCAATATATGGAGAAGGAGGATTATTTTTCTTTCATTTAATTTTTAGAGCAACTTTATAAAATTGGTGATACTCATGTATTTGAGATAATCAAACCAAGGATCAGAAAGACTAAACAAATCGCCATAGTCCCAAAGCAGTTCACAATACATTTACTGGATAATTTCCAGTTAAAAGTAGCAATGATGATCACATTGAAAATCTTGTATTATCTGGTGGTTTTCTCTTACATAAGCTTCTTGGAATTTAGTAAGATAAGTTGCAGCTCAAAAAGCAGATCTGTAGAATATTTTATTCCAGAGATTGTAGTGGGGGCCAAAGTATTGCATGAGTTTTGTTGGGAACAAGGTGTAGGCTGAGAATCTAAGCATACTTCAGTTGGTGGTTTTCAGTTGGTGGGCAGTGGAAGAAGGAGGAGGAGCTCCGTCTGTGCTCTCTCTTCCCCCAGTCACAGCCCTCAGGCTTGTTGCATCCAGGCCCTTCTAAGTTAAAACAGACAGGTTGACAGGTTTATTTATCATTTAGCAGACAAGTCAGCTCAGGGTAGGCAGGTGAGGTGGGGTGTGGGCTGCTAGTACAGTGCCGCCCTTTGACCCAGGGCTACCCATGCCCATGGGGCTATGCCATATATTATATATATAGTATTTTATATATATGTATATAAGCCTGTTGGTTTGTTAAAACCATGGATTGCTCTATCAACGTGATCTATCAACGTGATCAACGTTGCTCTGTCAAAGTGATCATTAGAAAAATGTGATGTACTTAGTGTGTAAATTTTAGAACATTTCTTCTGTTAGTCTGTTAATACTCAATTCTTTTCTAAAACACCTAGCCCAAATCTCCATAGGTTTTAATCGAATTATATTATAATTTGGATTGTCTGGTCTGCCTATCTTCCAAATAATAAAGTTCTTAAAATTAATTTTCTATTGCTGCCATAACAAACTTCCACAACTTTGTGGCTTAAATCAAAGACTTACAACCCTATAGTTCTGTAGGGCAAACCTCTGACTGTGGTCTTACTGGGCTTAAGTCAAGGTGTTGTCAGGGCTGTATTGCTTTCTGGAGGCTCTAGAGAGAATCCATTTCCTTTTCCAACTTTTAGATGCTGTCCCTATTCCTTGGATCATGGGACCATCCCTCCATCTTCAAAGCTAGTAATGTGGGATGTCTGTGGCCATTGTTCTGTAGCCATATCACCTTCTGACTGTAGCTAGGAAAGATTCTCTGATTTTATAGACACATGCAATTAGATTGGCTCCCAAGATAATCAAGGATAATCCCCCTAACTTAAGGGTTAATCACATCTCCAAAGTCCCTTTTGCCCCATGTAAAGTAATATGGTCACAGATTCCAGTGACTAGAACATCTTTATGGGGTCATTATTTTGACTGTCACAAAGGCAAAGTCTTGGACTTATGCATATCTAGATTTTCTTTGCTTAATTTCGGAGCCTAGGACACATTAGACTCTAAATAAATGTGAATGAGTGATAAATATTATATTTACAGATTGCTGCCACATTGCAATTCTGTCCTCCCACTGGTGGTGGAATCCTATGTACTTTTTACCATCTCCGTTTTGCATTCAGACTGAACATGGCTGTGTTACTCCTTTCACCTGGGTGATTTCAAACCATCTCTCTATTTCTATTTGTAGAGATCTTATCTATCAAGCCCTTCTCAAATGCCACTTCAAAAAACTTTTTCTAATCCCCAATTGTCTTAGTCAATTTATGCTCTTACAACAAAATAACACAGACTAGGCAATTTATGAAAACCAGACGTTTATCTGTCATAGTTCTGGAGACTAGGAAGTCCAAGATCAAGGCATTGGCAGGTCTGATGTCTGGAAAGGGCTGTTCTCTCCATTCAAGATGGTGTTTTGATGCTGCATCTTCCAGAGACAGGGAACATTGTGTCCTCACATTGTGGAAGGCGGGAGGGCAAGAGGGATGAACTCCCTCCATGGAGCCCTTTCATGAGGGCTCCTAAACCCATTCCTGAGGTAGGAGTCCTGATGGCCTAATCAATTCCTGTAGGCTCCATCTCCACACTATCACATTGTCAACGCTGAATCTTGGAGGAGGCACAGTGAAACCATGGCACCAATCAAGTATGATCTTTCTCTCCTCAGAAACCCCCTCATATGTTTATACCTCCCATGCACTTTTATACATTTTGTCTCATGGTTTCTTCCTGTACAAATAAGTTGCTATAAATGGATAGCTATAATTTTGGGTTTCATTTCAACAAAACACCCTTCCTAGTTTTTTGAACCCCAAGCGAAATATGAGGACAGGCCCCACCTTCCATTACAAAAGCTGAAAGGAGTGCATGATCCTTTTTCCAGTTTCTTGGCCACTCACGTGTGGGCACATATCTAGGCCCAGCCAACGGATGTCTCTTTATTAGAACTTGGAACCCGATGAAATGATGCAAAAGACCTGAAAGAATCAGAGATGATTCTGAGACATTGAGCAGAGATGCAGGTCCAGGAATGTGGCAGCAAGGTCCTAGGTTCAGCAGAGCCCAGCTACATGGTGACAAGTGTCAAATGGCAACATCCTAGTGGTGGCATCCCAAGATCTGCTTCCATCGAATGAGCTTGGCTGTGCTGAGTTTCCCTCAGTTCTTACCTTGCTTCTCCAGCATCTTCAGTGATTTTGTGAACTATTCAATATCCTTTCATCGAATTCCTATTTCGCTTAAGTTGTCTAGAATTTGATATTTTCAGTGAAAAATATAAACCAATTATCCCCTCACATTAAAACACACTCCACTTAGGCATCTCCTGTGATCTCACTGGAGAAAAGTGTGGACGTTATTTGTAATTAGACTCAGAATGATAGGATTAGTTTGGTACTAGTAACAATGGAGATAAGTAACTAACTTTTTGTGAAACTTCTTCCTGGGGTGAAACAAAATCTATTGTGGAAACTCTTTCCAATCATCTCTGGAAATTTATTAAGTGACCTAGTATATAATGCTAATTTACCATGATACTTGATAAAATAGTTTTGTGTGTTCAGAATAATTTCTTTTTTTCTTTACCTTTGAAAACAATGCATCGATAGTTAATTTTCTCCTAAATTGTCTGTTTTTATTTCCATAAAAGGTATTTATTGAATGTCTCCTTTTAATATAACTAGGCATTGTGTGATCAAAGTAAAATAAACATGTTCTTGTTTCTGGAATTACTAAAGCTTTGAAAATGGACTTATCGACCTCAAACCAATGGGACATATTCCCATATGGCCTGCTCCCCTGTTAGGGTTCCCAGGGTAAGTGGCGATTCCTTTTCTGTCTTTTTAAAGATTTTAGAAATGCAGCTTCTGCTGTGGGCCACTAGGCGGAGTACTTCAGAGCAGGGTTTGTGGGAGTACAAAGCTAACTTCTGCTGCTTTTGCTTGATGCTTCTGAAGCTTCCTTGACTACTGTGGATGATAAGTAACTATTTTCTTCCACTTCTTTCTTTTTTCCCCTCACTCTTTGGAGTGAACTTGAAACATTTAGGAAGTTTGTTGATCAACATATACCGTGTTTATGAAAATCCGGCTAAGATAATATGGTAGGACTCCTTTGGTTATAAATAATAGAATTCAAACTCAAACTGGTCTAAGCCAAAAAAAAATATTAATTTGTGGACTCGTATAATGGAAAAATCCAGGGTGTAGCTTCAGAATGGCTGAATGTAGGGACTCAGGACTTGGCTCCTCTCAGCTTCCTTGCTTTTTTCTTCCCCATTGATTTTATTCTCAGACAAGTTTTCCCTTTGTGCTGCAATGTGGCCATCATCACTCCCCCAGTTTACATTTCCTTAGTTCCACAGCCCCAGAATAAAGCAAAAACAGAAACACTTCTAATAGTTTCAATAAGAGACTAGAGATTGACTTTGGGTGTGAGGCTTGGATTTCATGTCCATTTCTAGTTTCATCTGTGCCAGGATTAGAAGTATATTCATTGGCCAGGCCTGTGTCATGAGCTCATACAGGGTTTCCACTGTCCACACAGTGCCTTTGCAAGTATTAGAAAATGGCTCCCCTTTCTCCAGTTAGATGCAGCCCTGTATCAGGGCATGTGGCTTGGAGAAGAGCATGCAGGCTGGATTTCAACCCCCCTTTCTCCCTTAGCTGGGTTTCTTCCTTGAGTGAACAACATACTTGTTAGTAGCTGTCCTGTGCTTATTCCTGAAACTGGGGGTGAAATCAGCCACCACGCCAAAACTGAAGGATAGAAGATGGCTTCATCTAGGGTATCAGATAATGGCTAATAACAAAGGGAGGGGACAGTGGGTGCTGTGTGGGCAAAAGGAGCAAAAAATAATCCTAACCTGTCTAGACTTCATCTCAGAAGCCATATACAACCTTCTTCAATGGAAATATTTAACACTTCAGGAGTGCCAAGAAGGCTATAAGGAGCATATCTCTTAAGGACTTAAGTTAGGGCATTCTAGAATGTATGCTTTATGGATTTACCTTATAAATATATAACTGACTAATACACACAGAAAATATATTGCAGAGTAACATAGATGACAGAGCTTGAAATACATGACATTCTACCGCAGTCTCTCATTATTTTCTAACTTATCAAAAGACTCAGAGGATCTTTTTTTTCGTATTGATAAATTTCTAACCAGAACCCTATTTACTTGTGTCTTGAAAAACAGTATTTGCAAATATGTCTGAAGAGGAAACAGAAAGAAAATGATTCCAAAAAAGCTGATAACATTAAGACATCTGCTTATAGAAGATGTAAATTTGCAACCACAAATCAAAAGCTTATAGGAGCTACACAGAATGTGAAGAAAAATAAATGAAACCAAACCACTACAAGAAATAACCAAACTAAGAAGACAGCAAGAGAGGAAAAAAAAAAAGAACTGCAAAACATATGAAAAACAATTAACCAAACGCAAGTTACTCCTTACCTATCAACAATGACTTTAAATGTGAAAGTATTAAACTATCTAATTAAAAGACATAGAGTGGCACAATGCATAAAAGATACTCATCAGTACATATTTATAAGGGAGTCACTTTAGATATAAAGATACGTAGAGGCTCAAAGTGAAGGGATGGGAAAAGATACTGTACACAAATGGTAAACAAAAAAGAGCAAGGGTATCTATATTTAGATCAGAAAAAATAGACTTGAAATCAAAAACTGTCACTAGAGACTAAGAATGTCATTATATAATGATAAAAGTTCAATCCAATGGGAAGATTGAAAATATATATCCACCCAACATTAGAACACCTAAATATATAAAGTTAATATCAACAAAGCTAAGGGGAGAAATCAGTAACACTAAAATAATAGTAGCCAACTTCAGTACCCCAAATTCAATAATGGATAGAACATCTAGGAGGGAATAAAAAAAGAGGAAACAGCTGACTTGAACAACACAGTAGATTAAACACTGACAGATACACAACTTTCCATCCAATAGCAGCAGAATATACATTCTTCTCAAGTGCACACAGAATCTTCTCTGAGATAGATCAAATCTTAGGTCACAAGGCATACTACAAATTTAAGAAGTTTGATATAATGCCAAGTATCTTCTCATTCCACAATGGAATAAAATTAGAAGTCAATAACAAAGAAAACAGAAACATTTACAAAAATGCAGAAACTAAACAACACATGCTTAAACAACCATTGGGTAAAAGAAGAAATCAAAAGGGAATTTTAAAAATATCTTGAGACAAACAAAAATGAACATACAACTCAACAAAACTTACAGGATTCAGTAAAAGAAGTGCTAAGAGGGAAATGTTACAGTGTTAAATACCTACATTAAAAAATAAGAAAGATCTAACTCGAACAACCTAACTTTACAAATAAACAATTAGAAAAAGAGAAACTAACTAAACCCAAAGTTAGCATAATGAAGTAAATAATAAAGATTAGAATATAAATAAAATAACTATAAAATAGAAAACAATAGAAAAATCAACAAAGTTAGAGTTGAATTTTTGGAAATACAAACAAAAATAACAGACCCTTAGCTACACTAAGAAAAAAAGAGAAACTCAAGTAAATATAATCAGAAATGAAAATGGAGACATTATAGGAAATGTACAGGAATACAAATGATTATAAAGGACAATTAAGCGATTATATGCCAATAAATTGGATAACCTAGAATAAATGGATAAATTCTTAGAAAGATGCAATCTACCAAAATGGAACAAAAAAGAAATAGAACAGACCAAAAGCAAGCAAAGAGATTTAATCAGTAATCAATAATTTCCCAACAAAGAAAAGCCCAGGTGCAGATGCTTTCATGGGCAACTTCTACCAAACATTCAAAGAAGAACTAACACCAAAACTTCTTAAACTCTTCAGAAAAAATAGAAGAGAGAATACTCTCAAACTCATTTCATGAGGCCGATGTTACCATGACTTAAAAGCTAGACGAAGACAACACAAGAAAAAATAATTACAGACCAGTATCCTTAACGAATATAGATGCAAAAATTCTCAATAAAATACTAACTAGCAAACTGAATTCAAAAGCACATTGAAAAGGTCATACACCATGACCAATTGTAACTTATCTATGTGATACAAGGATGTTTCAATGTGTAAAAATTAATAATGTGATATACCACATTAACAGAATGAAAGATAAAAATAACATTCCAATGGATGCAGAAAACACATTTGACAAAATTCAATATACTTTCATGATAAAACTCTCAACAAAATAAGTATACAAGAAACTTACCTCAACACTGTAAAGGCTGTATATGAAAAACCTATATCTAATATTATAATCAGTGGGGAAAAACTGAAAGCTTTTTCTTAATATCTGGAACAAGACAAGGATGTCTACTCTCATCACTCCTATTCAACATAGTACTGGAAATCCTAGCCAGAGCAATCAGGCAAGAGAAATAAAAGGCATCAAAATTGAAAGGAAAGATGTAGTTACCTCTGTTAACAGAAAACATGATTATTATACATTGAAAACTGTAAAGACTCCACAGAAAATGGTTACAAATAATATAGTCAGTCTTTCATATCTGCTGGGGATTTGTTTCAGGACCCCCTCAGATAACAAAATCTGTGATGATCAACTCCCTCACATAAAATCGTGTACAGTTGGCCCTATGTATCCATGGGTACACATCTGTGGATTCAAACCACCACAGATGGAAAATGTGTACAAGTTATGTTCATAGTTGATTGAGTTCATGGTTGCAAAACACATGGATATGAAGGACTGACTATATAATAAATTTACTAAAGTTGTAGGATACACAATCGACATACAAAAATCATTGCTATTTCTAAAAACTAACAAAGAATTGTCTGAAAGGGAAATTTAAAAAACAGTATCAAATAAACTACTTTGGAACTAACTAACCAAACAAGTGAAAGACTTAAACACTACAAATTATAAAAGATTGATGACAGAAATTTAAACCAAAGTAAATTGAAAGACAACCCATGGATTGAAAGAGTTAGTACTGTATTATTAAAGTGTCCATATTACTCAAAGCAATCTACACATTTAATGTAATCCATATCAAAATCCCAATGGTATCTCTCACAGAAATAGAAAAAAAAATCCTAAAATTCATATAGAATCACAAAAATCCCTGAGTGGCAGAAGCAATTTTGAGCAAGAACAAAGCTACAGGTATCACACTTCCTGACTTCAAATTAAATTATAAAGCTGTAGAAAGAAAAAACACTATGGTACTAGCATAAAAACAGACACATAAACCAGTGAAACAAAATAGAGAACCTAGGCATAACCCACACATTTGCAGCAATTGATCACCCTGGAAGGTGACAAGGAGACACTATAGGGAGAGGATATGCTCTTGACCAAATGGTGTTAGGAAAGGTGGATGTCTACATGTAAAAGAATGAAATCGGATCCCTTGCTCACGCCTTATGTAAAAATTAACTCAAAATGGATTAAACGTTTAAATGTAATCACTGAAACCATAAAACTCCTGGAAGAAGACAAGAGAAAACATTCTTGACATTGGTCTTGGCAATAATTTGTTTAGATATGATGCCAAAAGCACAGGCAACAAAGGCAAAATAGATAAATGAATTACATCGAACTAAAAAGCTTCTGCACAGCAAAGAAAACAACTAATGAAATGATAATGCAACCTATGAAATGGGGAAAATGTTTTAAACCATATCTCTTATAAGGAGTTCAAAAAATAAGAAGGACACATACACATCAATTCCAAAATTATGAATAACCTAATTTTATTTTAAGGCAAATAACCTAAATAAATACATCTCAAAAGAAGAAACTCAAATGGCTAACAGGTATATGAAAATGTTGTCAACATCTCTAAACTTCAGAGTAATGCAAATCAAAACCACAATGAGATATCATGTCACACCTGTTAAAATGGCTATTATCAAAAAGAGAAAAGATAAGTGTTGGTAAGAATGTGGAGAAAAGAAAACCATTATACACTATTGACGGGAATGCAAATTAGTAAAACACAGAAAACAGTATTGAGGTTCTTCCAAAGAAAATTGAAAATAGCACTGGCCTGGTGTGGTGTCTCACACCTGTAATCCCAGGATTTGGGGAAGTCAAGGCAGGAGGCCAGGAGCTCCAGACCAGCCTGGGTAACATAGCAAGACCCCATCTATGAAAAAAAATTAAAATTAACCAGACATGTTGTTGTACACCTGTAGTCCCAGCTACTCAGGAGGCTGAGGTAGGAGGATCGCTTGAGCCCAGGAGTTCAAGGCTGCAGTGAGCTATGATCTTGCCACTGGACTTTACCCTGGATGACAGAGTGAGACCCGGTTTCAAAAATAAAAAAAAAAGAACTACCACATAATCCAACAATTTCACTTCTGGATGTATGTCCAGTGAAATTGACATAAGAGTCTTAGAGAGGTGTCTGTCATCCCCTGTTCATTGCAGCATGACACACAATGACCAAAATATGAAAATAACCTAAGTGTCCTTTGGCAGAGGAACAGATGAATGGGTAAAGAAAATGTGACGTGTATACATAAAATGAAATATTATACAACCTTAAAAAAGAAGGAAATCCTTCTATTTGTGAAAACATGGATGGAGCTGGAAGATATTGCGCCAAGCAAAAATGCAAGGCACAGAGACAACTACTTCATGATCTCACTTACATGAGGAATCTACAACAGTCAAATTCATAAAAACAGAGAATAGGACAGTGATTGCCAGGGGCTCAGGGAGGGGAAACGGGGTGATGTTAATTAAATTGTGCAATGTTCAAGTTATAATAATTTCTGGAGATATAATGTACAACATGGAACAACACTGTATCATATTCTTGTGTTCTGCTAAAGGACTAGATCATAAATTAATTACTGTCAACACACACACAATGGTAAATATGTAGAGATAATATGCTAATTTGCTTGATTGTGGTGATCATTTCAAAAAGTATAGAAATATCAAAACATTAAGTTACCTTAAATTTATACAATTTGTATATGTCATGTTATCATCATAAAGCTGTTAAGAAAGATTTAGTGAATCATATCTACCACCTGGGAACTTTCTCATGACAGGGAGTGCTGGAGTAGGAAAATGGAATTTTGCAACAAGTATAGGGTGAGGGACATGGGAAATGATTGATCAAGTATTTAAGAAATGACCTGGGTGGAAGCTACATCAAAGGGTATGAGCTTTAGAGCATCAGTCCTCAAACTTTTTGGTTTCAGGAACACTTTACATTTTTAAAAGTTATTGAGGACCCCAAAGAGCATTTATTTATTTGGATTATATCTATCTATATTTATCATGTTAAACATTAAAACTGAGAAATTAAAACAAATAAAATAATATATGTTTACATAAATCACATTTTTATTTCAAATTATCATTTTTAAGCAGTAAAGTTGGTGAGAACAGTGACGTTGTTTTATATTTTTAGGTATGTCTTTAAAGTCTGGTTTAATAGAAGAAAACTTGGTTCTCCTTTCTGCTTCTATGTTTAATTTCTTGTGACATCCCATGTCAGGTAGCCTCTGGGAAAGTCTAATTATACTTATGAGAGAATGAAAGTGGCAAAGGTAAACAAAACCTGTGTATTTTTATGAAAAGACTTTTGACCTTGCAGAGCCCCTGGAAGGGACTCAGGGACTTCTCAGGGTTCTCTGGCTCATGTGTTCACAGAGTAGAGGGTAAGTCCGCAAGAGAAAGCAGTGATTGGCTGTGGGAGGTCTTGCTGAGAGGTGGTAGAGAAGAGGTTGGATGTGTAGAAAGTATGGTCGTTCTTTTCATTTCTTTTCCCTTTCCTTTGGCCTCTTGTTGCTGGGATGTCCTCTTTAGATGATCGTATCATAAATTAGAAATAGCATTAATGAACATTCTTGATACTGCCTAATGAAAGTTTTTGTTTTGTCTTCCTGAGTCTTGATACATTTCAAGAAGTCTTCTATCTCATTTATTTTTCCCACCGAAATTTGGAATTTAGGAAGAGTCGATATAGCTATATTTAGATGATTTATCTCCCTGAAGACATTTTGGGATCATTTATACATCTCTATAAACAATGCTCTGATGTTCCTTTATTTTGTTTAGAGACTGGGTCTTGCCGTGTTGTCTGGAGTGGAGTGGCTCGATCGTAGCTCATAATACACAATACAATCAAACTCCTGTGCTCAAAGTGATCCTTCCACTCAGCCTCCACAGTAGCTAGGTCTGCAGGTGTGTGCCAGCACGTCTAGCTTTTGATTACTATTATTATTTTTGTAGAAATGAGGGTTTCATTATGCTGCCCAGGCTGGTCTTCCAACTCCTGGCCTCAAGCGATCCTCCTGCCTTCTGCCGTCTGAGGAGCTGAGATTACAGGTGTAAGCCACCATGCTGGTCCTGATGTCATTTAAATACAAACATGATACTGTATTCCTTGTAGAAAGTGCTACATAAATATAATTTTTTTGAAATAGGGTCTTGCTGTGTCACCCAAGCTGGAAGGCAGTGGTATGATCACACTCACTGCAGCCTTGACCTGCTGGGCTTAAGTGATCCTCCCATCTCAGCCTTCCAAGTAGCTGGGACCTGAGGTATGAGCCAGGAAGCCCAGAGAATTTTTCAATTTTTGGTAAAGATCGGCGTGTCACTGTGTTGCCCAGGCTGGTCTTGAACTCTTGGGCTCAAGTTACCCTCCGCCCAGGTCTCCCAAAGTGCTGGGATTACAGGCCTGAACCACTGCACCGGGTCCTAAAAATTTATTCACTTTATTTGTTTGTCCACAAGATGCTGCTGTTTCCCTTCTAATAACATGAGACCGCTCACTCAAGAACACCAAGAACACGACATTCTCTAAAAAAAATCATAGTAGTTACTTTTCCATAACTATTAAGTTTTCAAGATGTTATCAGGTTTATCTCATAGAAAGAATGTGTAAAATTTTTCATGTAGAAACATAATCTTTTAGCAATGAGTTAGATAAAAAATTTGGCATTGTCAGAATGATTTCCTTTTCCCTATGATTTTATTTATTATAATTATATTTTTAGTGATATCAATTACTTTATAAAAACTCATTGCATAATATACCCAATGACTGTGAAATCGTCTGCTTTGAAGCACAGTGAAGTCATCAATCAGCATACTGGGTCTAACACGGTCCCTTCCATTTTAAGAAAGCTATTTACACTCCAATTTGCAAGTTGGATTTTACAAAAATTAAAACATTTAGAAAATATACTAACTATGATTGTTTTAAAAAGTAATGGTTTTTTATGTTAAGGAAATAAATTGAAGCTCTGTTTTGGAAAGTGCAGAAAACAAATCAGCATCTTTATAAATAGATTTTACTGCTGGTTTAGAAATTACCTTATGTGCTTTATAGATGATGGAAAATGAAATCAGCTGCAGTTAGCAGTGTGCATGCATCGTACTTGCTGTGTCACTTTCAGAAAGATTATGGAATATTGGCAGGTCAGGATTCTCAAAATGATAAGTTCCAAGAAGAGGCTAAATGAAAAAGAATTTTAAAAGCAAGGCTAATTGTTTAATATATACATGGACGAGTTATGGGGAAATCCTGGACTGGGAGCTAGCAGATCTATGTTCTGACTTTTACTAAGTCATTGGCTGCTACAGCAGGCCAAGCAAACATAACTGTCAAGGCTGCCTGGGAGTTGGGTTGATTGGCAATTGGCACAGGGAGAAAGGACAATTGCCAGAATAATGGCCAAATAGGGTTTCATATTCAGTGAAGCAGGACGTGCATTTGTATCCCAAGGGCAAAACTGACGCTAGAATCTGGGCCTCCTGGCTCAATCTGAGTCCACAGTCTGATGAGTAGGATGAAGTAGTCTCAGAAATCCAAGCCAGCCAGAACCCATGAGGTGTGCTCTGCAGATATTGGCTGGTGAGCTGCATTAAGATGTTTCATTCCATTGAGCAAACATTCCTTGATTGGTTAGGTTAGCATCCCACAAGAGCAAAGACAAATTCTTCAGAATTTGTCCATGAAGCTATAGTTCCAGAGCTTATATTTCAAGGGAGGAGGGAGGAAACAGCATCTCAGGATGGTAGGTGATTACAGCTAAACCGAATTCTGAAAATAAAAGGAACCCTATGTCTTTGTCTGCTCAGGCTGCTTCCACAAACAACTGTAGACTGAGTGGCTTAAACAGCACATACTTGTTTCTCACAGTTGTGGGAATTCAAAGATTAAAATCTGGGCCAGCAGAACCAGTGTCTGGTGAAGGCCCTCTTACTGGTTTGCAGGTGTTCTTGTTGTATGTTCACATGGCTGAGAGAAGAGGGCTCTAGTCTCCTACTCTTCTAATTAGGATGCTAACCCCATTGTGGGAACTCCATCCTCATCAAAACCAAATTACTTCCCAAAGGTCCTCCTTCTAATGCCATTCTATTGTTAGAGTTTCAACATGTGCATTTGTTGATGCAAACATGCAGTGCACAGCATCTTATCTAATCAAGTCAGTTGTCCCTTGAATAAAATTTTAGCTCCTATAAAAAGACTTCAAATTATGACTTGGTTGTTGCCAAAACTATCTATCTGGATTTGCTAGAAATCAAACATACTTGAATATTTCCTCTAAAGATTTTCTCATTCCTACCCTATTGTGTATATTTACAGAATTCTTAAATAATTACATACTCAAGGCTTCTATTAGCTCTGACGAGAGCTTCTATTAGCTTTGACAATTGCAAGCAGCTTTATAGCACTGTAGGTAAAAGCATGTGCTTTGAAATCATACAATAAATTTATTGAATGCTAAGCACTTTATATTCACTATTTAATTTTATCATCTTAATAACCTTCATTATTACCTCCATTAAACCCTATTTGTTGGCTACTTATATTATTCTGGTTTTGCAAATCTAAATTTGAGAGGCTTTCCCAATGTCACATAAGTTAATAGGTGGCATATCTGGGGTTTGAATTAAAGTCTACCTGATTCCAAGATCTATTTACCATTGTTCTACAATATGTACATTTTAGGTCCCTGAGAATGCTAACAGCCTTTCTTTTGAAATCTGCCTTATTTCTGGATAGCAGCTTTATTAATACGTGATTATGGCACCATATTTCAGGCAACAAAATTCTTTGAAATCTTTCATTTCCATAGTGAGATAAGGATCAGTTCTGTGGCATTGTCAGCCAGAAAACATCATTTGGAGACTATCTTGTACAAGAAGTAGAAGACACAGCTGGGGTCCTGCAGAGGACAGAAAGTTCACATCCATACCCCTTTCACTTCCTCCTCAAGGAGATGGACCTCTGTGGTTGGTCAAGCTTAAGGATCGTTTATGGGCCACAGCTAATGGTGAAATCTTCCTAACTCTAGGTGAAGATTAATGGGCAAGTTGGAGAGTTAAGGTAGCTTATGGCTGCTCCTTTTAGAAAAAGTCTGATCATTGCTCTCTTATTTGTGAAACCCCTCTGTTCCCTCAAATGCTTGGTAAGACATTCCTGAAGACCAATCCTGTGTCAGTAGACTTCATATCTACTCTCTTCTACCAATCATACAACTACAGACAAATAAGAAAAATAAAGCAAAGCTCAGACACACTCCCCTGGCATGGAGGCCACTCTCTGGCTGGCTGCTTTTCTCTACCATGGCGCCTCCTGGGCATTTGGCTCTTTCTTAGATCAAACAGAGACATGGGTTTGGGATTAAAGAGAAGTAGGTGAAAGGGGTCTCTGGCCTGTTTTGGCATTAGACCAAGTAAATAACAGAGTTCTGGCTTAAGCTCAGCTCTGTAGAGCTTTCTCTGTGTTTGGGGAAAATCTCCCATAGTAATGAAGAGGTATTTTACTGTGCTTCGTTTTCTGTACATATATCTCTTTCTTAGGTATGTTGTGAGGAGATTCGTTCCCTGGACAAATGCCATCTTAATCACCTTCATTATTACCAATTTTATTTTATTTGCAGAATAAAAATTTAAATAGACATTCAGGAAACAAGTCTGGTGAGAGAATTATGTTATGAGGTTAATCTTTCAGCATCTGCCTTAGGGACATTGATTATTTTCCCCCTTGTTTTTCACCAAGCTCCAGGCTTGCAAAAGAATTGTGATGTGGTCTGAGGCAAACTTACTGATTGGCTAGTGGTAAGTTAAACCATAACCTGTAGAACCACTGGGAACCATTGCTTGTCACCGGCCAGAAATCCACTGTTTGGAGGTGTGTGCTGGGAAGGCTGTTCATACTTATTGATACATGCTTTGTTCTTGGCACTATGTTAAGTACTGGACACATGCAACAATTTGGAATATCGTTACATTCAACCCTCACAATAGTCTGATGTGTATGTTATTAGTCCCGTATTAGAGATGAGTAAACAAGATTAGAGGAAGAGAAGTACACAGCTGGAACCACACAGGCGGCACTGGGACTGGAAGCAGTTCCTTCTCACCCTGGACCACCATTTCTATGCTGTGTCTCCACTAGAGGATCCTTTCTTTGGTTCTTCTGAGTCATTAGTCATCAATAATTTATCTCCAAACTGTAGGTTTCACAGGAGGAGATGCCACTTGAATGTTCATGGCTTAAAATGGAGATGGAATGTGGAACATGGTGGGAAGCACCGGGAGGGGTTTATTGATAAATTTCAAGTACTTTGTGGGGCTCTGAAAGACTGTCTTCAAATTATTTGTCCTACTACCTCTTTCATATTCAAATGTCATATGGGTATATCTTTTGGGTTAAATTAAGGAAAATCTCCATGAAAAGTAAAAAACAAACAAAAAAAACCCCAAAAGAATAGAAAGAGGTACTACGAAAAATCAACTCAGATTTCTCAGAGTTTTATTAACTCAAAGAAGCCTTGGTCCAGTTGGAAGAAGACAGAATTGATTTTGACAATCTCTAGCAAATGCTTTAGTGTTCAATGCACTCTAGACCAGGAGTATAAAGAAGTTCACTTAATAGGTTCACCAAATTAGTTAGTTTGCGTAGTTCAAAGGGAAACAGACACACAGGACTGTGAGGCTTTGACAGCTGCGAAAGGCAAGTCTGGGTCCAGTGAGCCCAGGCAGGCCGTGAAGGGGCAGGGCAGGAGAAGGACGGTGCTAGGAGGCTAGGGAACTGGCCACCTCTGTGCTGGCTGAAGATCACAAAAATCAACACAGCTTTCTGCAAATGCTGCCTGTGCCTGATGGAATTAAACAGAGCTCTGAGAAAGACAGCACCGGGGCCGAGGATGGGTCCTGAGCTGCCTACAGTCATCAATATCTTGGCCATTGGCTATGCACTCAGAGGCAATTTGGCTAGCTTTCTTGATCCACACCAGAAAACTCGCTTTTGAAGTGGTTTGGAAAGCTCCAAAAGGGAAGTGCTTCATGCTATTGGTATTGCTGCCAAAAAGAAAAGATTCTGCTTTTCATCAGCTGCTGATTTTTGCTCCCTGTATTTCTCTAGCATCTGTTGCTGGTGGCCCTGGTTATGCTAACAAGTAGATAGTGTAGCTGCAGCAGCAGAACAGAAAAGACTCTCCTGGATTCTCTGTTCCAGGCAGGCCTAGGAGCAGGCTTAGGGATGTTTCAATGTTTGAATGCAGGTGAGCTGGAGATCTGTGGCAATTCTTTTGACATGAGGTTGGGCATTCTTTATAGCTTCCCCAGACACAGGAATTGGCAGGGCTTGAAAAAGAATCACTGGCAGGAGGTTCATTTTCTTCATTGCTACCTCTCCAGCCATAAAATTAAAAGCTTTTTACCTAAATCACGTTAGCCATCTCGTGGGAGTAGGAGATCATTTCCTTCAGAGTCTTTCCCGATTGGAGTCTAGTCCTAGGATGGTTTGAACGGTCCGTTTGAATTGGAAGAGCTTTCTAATTGATGCTTCTCATCCCCTCTCCGACCAGTCTTATTTGGTGTCATCTGCCTTTCCCCTTCCTCCCTACAAAACCTCAGAGTCTTGAAACAAAAATCTTTGTATTGTAAACTTCATCCTGCTAATTTCATCAATTCAAACGAACTTTCCCTTGTTTGAGTTTCCTCCAACTGTGTGACTTAGGGCTGTTGAACTCTTTCAAATACACAGGAAAATGGAAACCTCTTTTTGTGTCTAGTGATTGTATAATAAAACATTTTCAGATGCTAATCACATGCTTTGTGCTTTGTTAATGAATGAAATTCCAAGGATATTCTTATTTGAAAGGTTTAAAAATATAATAACTGTCATTATATCTAATTCTGTCTACATTTCTGGTGTGAAATGAGAAGTCAGTAGCCCTGCCATCTACACAGTGCATGGTTCTACCAGCTATTTCTGTGTCACTTCAAGCAAATCACTTCTTTTCTGCCTTTTCTTTCTTTTTATGTAAAATGTGGATAACTGTCTCACTGAATTCATAGAGTGACTGTATTATGTACAACAAAATTTATTGAAAAGTGTAAAGCTCTATAATTAGGTAGAATGTTACCTGTGATTTATAAGCTTTTTAAATCCTGGGGCCAGTGGAGGAAGTATTCCTCTTACTGTAAAAGGACATCCCTCTAATAATCTCCCTCCTTTTCCTGACTTTTCAGGGATTCTGTTCATTGTTTTTCCATTTGTCATCTGCATCTTCAATCTCTCTCCTTCTTGATGCAGTCGGTCAGCATTTAAATATAAATTTTTCATTTAAAAAATCTTCTATCTTGGAGGAACCTTAATTTTGACTCTGTGTGTCTTTCTAGCTATCAAGCCATCTCCTCCTTTCTTGGCAAATTTTTCTCAAGGATTTTCCACATTTACTATCTCCTTTTGCTCATTTTCCTTTCACTCTTTATTCAGGTCAGTTTGGCTTTCACTTTCATCAAGCCTATGAAACTGCTTGTGCTAAGGTCACCATATAAGAGTGCTAGGGGCTTCCATCACAAGCTGCCACAGATTGAGTGGTTTATCTTCTCACAGCTCTGAAGACTGGAAATCCAGGATGGAATGTCAGCAGGTTTGCCTTCTTCTGAGAACTGCTGCCTTGCAGATGCCTCCCTTCCTGCTGTGTCCTCAGGCTGTGTTGCCTGTGTCTCAATTTCTTTTTACATGGACACCTGCCATATTGGTTTAAGGTCCACCCATATGGCTTCATTGGACCTCACTTACCTCTTTGAATGCCTTCTCTAAATCAGTCCCTCTGAGGCAGTGGGGATCAGCTCTTCAACATAGGAATCTGGGGGGACACAATTCAGCACCCCCAGAATTGGTGATTCCTAAACATCATGAACACTATTCCTCTTTCTCTCTTTCTTTCCCTTTCTTTCTTTCTTTCTTTCTTTCTTTCTTTCTTTCTTTCTTTCTTTCTTTCTCTTTCTTTCTTTCTTCTCTCTCTCTTTCTTTCTCTCTCTCTTTCTTTCCTCTTTCTTTCTTTCTCCCTTCCTTCCTTCCCTTTCCTTTCCTCGCTCTCCCTTCATTTTTTCCTTCCCTTTCCTTTCCTTTCCCTTCCCTTCCTTTCCTTGCTCTCCCTTCCTTCTTTCCTTTCCTTGCTCTTCCTTCCTTCTTTCTTTCTTTCCTTCCTTCTCTCTCTTTCTCCCTTCCTTCCATTTATTTACTTTTGTTTATATAAAATTTATGGGATACATGTGCAATTTTGTTCCATGCATAGTGGTCAGTTCAAAGCTATTAGGGTATCCATCACCCAAGTAACATATATTGTACATATTATGTAATATATAAGTCCAATGGGGTCTCAGGAACATTCAGTAGAGTAGACCCCTGACCTCTTCCTCTAGCTTGAACTATTTTCTTATCTGCTTCTCCCTCTTTGCCCAAACTTTAAATGTTGAAGTTCCTAAATCCTGGGTCCTCTTCTGTTCTTATCCCATACTAGGCTTGTCCAACCCATGGTCTGTGGGCCATGTGTGGCCCAACACAAATTTGTAAACATTCTTCAAGCATTATAAGATATTTTATGATTTTTTTTAGCTCATCAACTATTGTTAATATTAGTATATTTTATGTGTGGCCCAAGACAATTCTTCTTATTCGAATGTAGCCAGGGAAGCCAAAAGATTGGACACCCCTGCCTACACAGACTCTAGACAAGGTTTTATTAATTACTATGGCTTTAGATACCATTTATACGCATATGACTCCTACAGACCTCTCCTCCCAAGCTCCAAAACATTATGTGCACCTGCCATCTTGAAATCTCCACTGGGATTTTCACAGGCATGCCTAAAATCAGAATTCAAAACTCGAGTTCTGCCCCCACATCTATGCCACTTCCTCAATCATTTCCCTTTTGTTAGTTTATTTCTTTTTCAGCCTTACCATTCTTCATAAAAATTATCTCCATTTACCCATTTGCTTCTTCCAGAAAGCATCATCATCCTTGATGCTTTCTTCTTCCTGCAACCCCCGCTACCATCACAATTTGTAACCAATTACTGCTATTTCACCTGCAAAATATGTGCTAAAATTATCCGCTTCTGTCATCTGCATCTTTCACCTGGTCTGCAAACATATACTCCTCTTTCCAACTTTTTGCCTCTCCAATACCTTCTCTATGGCACACCCAGAGAGGTTCTTCAAAAATTTCAATTAGATCATGTCTCTCCTTCGTTAAAAAATCTTTAATGATTTTCTACCCATGAAATAATTCTGCTAGACTGCAAGCTCTAAAGATGCAAGGACTAGGTTTGCCTTATTTGTTTCTGTTTATGCAGAGCCTAGCCTTGCATGTAGTAGGAACTTAACACATTGACCTAGATCTTGTCCACCTTCTCAGCCTCACCTCTCATGGAAGCACTCATAGACCTCAGTCCAGTTACTCTTTTCTCAGATCCCTGAGCTGGCCTGGTCCAGGGCTGCCTGGGCCGTGATGCGTTCACTCCTGATTTGTTGGCTGGTATCTGCTTATGTTCTTGCTACTGTAACTGATGTACAAGGCAGTCACATAGGCATCCCTGGGAGCTTGCTAGAGCTCAGGCACCACCCTAGATCCAATGAATCAAAATCTGCATGTTGACAAGGTCTCCAGGTGGTTCATATGCACATTCAAGTTTACAGTGCTTTGCTCTGGATCCCAGCCTGAGTGTTAGTTCTTTAAAGAGACCTTTCCCAACTGGCCAAATCTTATCAAGTCATGTGATGGATTCACCCACACGGTCTGTGATACAGAAGGGAAAAGAAGTTGAGGCCTATTGATCAGAAGCTGCTCACTTTAGAGTTTTACCTAAGGGTGATCCTATCAAAAGTTCTGGATTTTGTAGAGAAGCATACAAAGTATGTGAATAGTTTGATTTGAGCAAATTGAAAATTGCCAGTTTTCTTTGCTTTAACAAATGTTTGCTTTCCCTCTGGAAATCCCTTGTTACAGGTCCTTAGTTTTAGTTTGCCACATTATGACACGATGGGAATAATGCACAGCAGTGATCCTCAGTTGATTTGGGTTTTCAATACATAATTGATCCATGGTTGTGGCATGCATTGTAGCATGTCCAACTAGAATACCTATACTTTCAATTACTTTCATTACTTTCAATGGCAAAACCACAATTACTTTTGCACTAACCTGATAGCTTTGCTACAAGTGAGTTGTTCAGTTTTCTTTTTTTGTTGTTGTTTGTTTTTATTTTTGCAAACACTTTAGATACTGCATAGTGGATGGATTAGTTTGTGGTTCCTGGGATCTTCTGTGTATTCTGTTGAAGCTCAATAATCACATTACTGCGGACCTCCAAAATTTTACAAAGGACTGCACAGTGAGTATTCAGCCGATAAACTAAACCACAGCTTAATACTGTGAGATGAAAAAAAGTACACCAATTAAAAGTAAACACTGTTTAAACCTACCTCAATGAATTTCTAAAGTGTCATACATTTATTATATTCTCTACTTGTACAATATTTTGTTGTGTGTATTGCCAAGTATTTCAGGATTTTATGGGTATAATGTATTCTATTAATTTAACTGGAAAACTTGTAGTTATTCAACAAGCAAACTAAAAGTGTTGGCAGAGATGTAATTTTAAAGCACAATCCCACTCATTCCTTCAGTATTACAGCTGCTCCTTGTTTGTTTAATAATAGAACTGATGAGTAGTTAATTTGAGAGGAAAGCTGGTGCAGGTGTAGTGCTATTTGGATGTCATGGAGGACACATGTGACATCTGCAGCTAGCTATATGGTAAAAGCAAAACAGAAGTTAAAATCAGCCCTGTGTCAAATCTGCATAGTTTTAGGCTTCAGGGAGTGTCTCTGTATGTTGAGGCAGGAAGTTTAGTAGAATTCCAAGGAAGTAAGAGAGGAACAAACATTTGTAGATTTTGCCTTCTATGGGGGAACTCATTCAATCATCAGGAGAACTCTTCAATAAGCTTTATTTGCTACGGTTTACCTAGATGAAAAATTGAGACCCAGAATCCATGCTTTTCTTTCCTGGTTACACATTAGAATCACCAATGTGACATTAAAACACACACACACACACACACACACACACACACTGCACACCCATTAGGATGGCTGCTATCAAAAAAGAAAAAAACAGAAAAATCAGGGGCCAGACACGCTGGTTCACACCTGTAATCCCAGCCCTTTGGGATCACCTGAGGTCGGGAGTTTGACAGCAACCTGGCCAACATGGTGAAACCTCATCTGTACCAAAAAATAAAATAAAATAAAATAAAAACAACACACACACACACACAATTAGTCGGGCATGGGGGCACACGTGTAATCTCAGCTAATTGAGAGGCTGAGGCACGAGAATCGCTTTAACCTGGGAGGCGGAGGTTGCAGTGACCGAGATCACGCCACTGCACTCCAGCCTGGAGACAGAAGGAGACTCGGCCTCAAAACAAAACAAAACAAAAACACCCAGAAAAATAACGAGTGCTGACAAGGATGTGGAAAAATTGTAACTCTTGTGCATTGAGGGTGGGTATGAAAAATAGCACATCAGCTGTGGAAAACATACCGTTCCTCAAAAATTTAGACATAGAATTACCATATGATTCAGTAATCCCACTCACATCTATAAATCTCTATATCTGTATCTTTATCTACCTATATCTATCTTCAAAAGAATGGAAAGCAGTTACTCAAATAGATACTTGTACACCTGTGTTCTCTCCCCACCCACCCCCCTTTTTTTTTTTTTTTTTAATAAATGGGCTCTCACTATGTTTCCCAGGCTGGAGTGCAGGGGCTGTTTATAGGCACGACCCCCTGCTGCGGGGCTGTCCACAGGCATGACCCCCTGCTGCGTGGCTGTTTATAGGCATGATCCCCCTGCTGCGGAGCTGTCCACAGGCACGGACCCCTGCTGCAGGGCTGTTCACAGGCACGACCCACTGCTGCGGGGCTGTCCACAGGCACGACCCCCTGCTGAGGGGCTGTCCACAGGCATGACCCCCTGCTGTGGGGCTGTTTACATGCATGATCCTCCTGCTGTGGGGCTGTTTACAGGCATGATCCCCCTGCTGCGGGGCTGTCCACAGGCATGACCCCCTGCTGAGGGGCTGTCCACAGTCACGATCTCCCTGCTGAGGGGCTGTCCACAGGCACGAACTCCCTGCTGCGGGGCTGTCCACAGGCACGATCTCCCTGCTGCGGGGCTGTCCACAGGCACGATCTCCCTGCTGCGGGGCTGTCCACAGGCATGACCCCCTGCTGGTCAAACTGGGAGTTGTGCCCTGCTTTGTCTCCAATCCATGCCGGTTTGCCCCTCCTTAGGCAACCTGGTAGTCCCTTATCCCAGGAGGTCACTGTACTAATGTCTAATTTCGTGTAGACATCTGATCAACACAGCACACTGCAGCTCAGGACTCCTGGGCTCAAGTGATCTTCCTGCCTCAGATGCCTGAGTAGCAGGAACTACAGGCGCATGCCACCACACCTGCCTGCTACACCTGTGTTCATTGCAGCATCACAGCAGCCTTATTTACAGGAACCACAAAGTGGAAACAACCTAAAAAGTCTATTGAGGGATAGATGGATAAACAAAATGTGGTATAGACATAAAATGGAATATTAGTGATCTTTGAAAAGGGAAGGAATTCTGATGCTTGCTACCACATAGATAAAAACATTATGCTAAGTGAGACGTCAAACACAGACTACCTGATTCCATCTATATGAAGAACCTGGAACAGGCAAATTAATAGAGACACAAAGTAGAATAGAGGTTTTCAGGACTGGCAGGAGGTGGAAATGGGCGAGGTTAGTGTCTAATGGGCACCGAGTTCCTGTCTGGGATGATAGAATGTTTCGGAAATGGATAGTGATGATGACTGCACAGCATTGTGAATGTAGCTAATGACGTTGAATTCTTTACCAGAAAACAAAAACAAAAACAGAAACACATTGCTTAAGCTTCCAGTCCGACAGGTGACATGCTTGGTGTGAGCTGGGGCCTAAGCCCAGGCTGCCCTCGCCAGAGCTGCTTCAAGACCCCTCTTGGTTGTACTTAGTCCTGATTGCTCTGGAGAGCCCCATACATGAAAGCCAGCTCTGGTTCTATCTCTTCTCACTCCAGTCCTCCCTGCCCCCACCATCCCCCAGCTGGGCATTATGAGAAAAGAAAGATGACTATGAGTTTTCTGATTATTTATATGACCAAATAATCTCAAGGACTATTGCTAACTAACCCATGGGACTCCCACTACCTTCATGAGGCTCGGTTGAGGTGAAGGGTCCCTAAAATCATGCCACCTAGTCAGGAGCTCAGTTGTCAATAATTTCTTTATTTGTGATACAAGCAGCGGTGGGGAAAGAGAAATGAACAGACTTGGAAGCTTCTCCGAGGCCCTAGAGAAGACCTCTGGGTTCCGAACACCAGACACCAGGAGTAAGGAGGGTAGTTGATGACTCCCCACTCTTTCTCCAGCCCCTGCTCCTCTGTTTTTCCCCTTCACCCACTGCAGCTTCCTCAGGTCCTGGGTCCCACGCCATCATCTCTTCGAATGACCTCCCTTCTATTCCTGTTAATAAAGGAGCATCAGCTAAGTGAACATGGTGATTTGCATTCACTTACATTGATTCAGAAATTGTGTTTAATTCCACACAAGAAAAAGAATGTGGATCTGTTTCACTGGGAAAAAAAGTTGCCATGTATCATCATAATCATGTTTTCCTGGGATATAATCTATACGTGACGCCCATTTAAGCCTTCATTGCATCTGTGCACGTGGTTTGCTTTCCTCTCATGTGAAATAGTGTTGGACCACACGGGTTTGGGCCACAGCCCAGGAAGACACAATCCTGAACGTCATAATCCCAAATGTTGAAGTCCCATAAGATCTAAATCTGTACAGTCTAAAATCCTGAAAATTACAATCCTAAAAAAACAAAATTCTCAAAATACAATTCTGGAAAAAAATTATTAACACATTCTTTAAGAAGAATTTATTGGGCAGCACATGGTGGCTCATGCCTTTAATCCCAGCACCTTTGGAGGCCGAGGTGGGTGGATCACAAAGTCAGGAGATGGAGACCATCCTGGCTAACACGGTGAAACCCCATCTTTACTAAAAGTAGAAAAAATTAGCCAGGCATCGTGACGGGTGCCAGTAGTCCCAGCTACTCGGGAGGCTGAGACAGGAGAATCGCTTGAACCCAGGAGGTGGAAGTTACAGTGAGCTGCAATCGCACCACTGCACTCCAGCCTAGGCGACAGAGTGAGACTCTGTCTAACAACAACAACAAAAAACATTTATTTATATTTTTAAGATGGAATTTATTTGAGAAACGTATAAAAACACAACAGAACCCTTCCTAGGCCACTTTACACAATCAATAGGCAATAATAACATGCATATATTTGCAAGCGTAAAACTCAGGTATGCTAACGATAGTTTCACGGGTATAATGGTAATGAGCAGATGAGTTGTATTTGTAAAGAAATGGGTCAAAAAGCAAAATATATAAAAGCATGGTTGGTAACTGGGTGCACTCAGCTTTATAACTTAGGTCATCTGGAATACTGTGACGGACAACCTAAGTCTTTTGACCAGATTCATCAAAAGCTGGGATGTGTCACCATCTAATATTCAGTCAAAGAGCTGAGATCCTAAGGAATTTTCTTTTCCCAAATGCAAATGTGCAAAAGGATCTCTTCTCATTTATTGAGGAAACTTTAATGTTTTTATGTACATGTACAATGCTTACACACAAAGTCAGTGTTGTGATAATACACTCTTGTGGAGTCAAATTTGCAAAAAAAAAACTCATAAAACAAATTAGAACTCTCTAAAAGTCTTTGCAAAATTTATACCTCCAGTATTGGAAATGATACTAAGATGAAATACATAGCGTAGCAAGTTGTAAAAAATAATGCTGACAATTTAAATTAGTGGAAAAAATGGAAAAAGAAACACTAAAAAGAAAATTGACATATAAAAAGTATATTACATGGATAGATTATGAGCAATTGCAGAGTTCATCATAGCTGGCTGGCTTTCATGATCATTAACTATATTTTGAAGTCTTGCATCACGATGAATTCTTGCCTTTTTTGTTTTTAGGATTTGACTCTCATAAAATACATTCACATTCATTTTCTACATGGCACTGCTCTTTTTGAAATTCTTCTATAATTTGATACACACTGACATGAGCATTTCCTGTTACATTTTCCAATCTTCTATGCCATTTTTGTCTATTGTTTTGAGTATGTGGAAATCCATTTTGCAGGCCCTCATATACAGGCCACTCATTTGGCAGAAACAATACTCTTGATTGAACAGCAACACCGTTGCCTAAATGACTTCTTATCCTACCTTGCACATCATTATTTTCAAATCAGCATGTAATATTTCTGGCTTCTTCAGGCAATTGTGGTTTTAATTTATCAAAAGCTCCTGGAATTTTATCAGGTGGAAGGAATGCCAATACAGACAAATGACACATTTTTAAACTAAAATTTTCATCATTGCCATATGGCCTGGCCAATCCACTCACCTGAATTTTCTGGCAAATGAGCT
Source organism: Homo sapiens (assembly GCF_000001405.40). Lineage (NCBI taxonomy): Eukaryota > Metazoa > Chordata > Mammalia > Primates > Hominidae > Homo > Homo sapiens. The sequence continues at coordinate 63,903,488 of NC_000009.12, forward strand.
GGGCTGAATGGAAGATATAAACTTTACTGGTAACAACTTGCAATTCACTTTTAGAAGCCTTGATCACACCTAATTAAAAACTTGTCATTATAACTTGGGGATCCAATTGAAATCTATTTTCTTCTGCAAAGCCATCCAAATCTTCAAATAAGCTTTTATAAAGTACTTCACTTTTTCCAGTTATTAAACCATAAACATGCAGTTTAAATTACAGAATTTTGTAATCCAATGGGGGCATAAACTGCAAAAAGTTGATTTAAAAAACCCACTGGGGACAGTTTTGAAAGTGCCGTTCATCAGCCAAAGTGAAACATGCACCAGTTTTGTTATGTTAAACAAATATGTTTATCTTTTTTGACAGTCAAATCCCTAATCAAGAATAGTTCATGATTTAATATGTCTTGTAGCACTGGAGGAAGCTCTGTGCCAGAAGTTGTCTGGCTCAGAAGGCCACTGAATTTGTTGAACTATTTTTATTACCTGACAAAAGGCATTTTGTGAAGGCAAGCATGGTGCTACGTGTAGAGGTGCTTGGTACATGATTACATAATTTCGCAGACAAGATTTTGTGCATTTTTTACTTTCATTTTAACTTCTTCTGTGATATTCAAGACATTCAAAACAGTGACAGCAGATCTTCCCCACCTAGTCCGCTCAGACCCACACACTGATCTCTTCTGAGAAAACCATCACAGTCATACCCAAAATAATGCTTTCCCAGCTTTCCAGGGATTCCTTAATCCAGTCAAGTTGACACCTGAAATTAAGTCTGCAAGTCCACCCCTTGTAGATTTGGCACTCATATGGACCTCCTTAAACCATACATAATTTCCAAATAAAAAGAAAACAAAGCAACAGTTGTACCTAACACGATGCAACTAACGTGGTACAACTCTTCTGTGATTGTGATTTTCTGGATTTTAGATGTTAAGAATTTAGACTTTAGGATTGGGCATGGTGGCTCATGCCTGTGTTCCCAGCACTTTGGGAGGCCAAGTCAGGAGGATCACTTGAGCCCAGGAGTTTGAAATCAGCCAGGGCAATAAAGTGAGACCCCAAGATATGGTTTGGCTGTGTCTCCAACCAAATCTTATCTTGAATTGTAGTTCCCATAATCCTCACATATCATGATGGGGACCCAGTGAGAGGTAATTGAATCATGGAGGCAGTTACCCCCATGCTCTTCTCATGATAGTGAGTTCTCACAAGATCTGATGGTTTTATAAGGAGCTTTTCCCCCTTTGCTTGCACTTCTCCTTCCTGCCACCTCGTGAAGAAGGTGACTTGCTTCCCCTTCACATTCTACCATGCTTGAAAGTTTCCTGAGGCCTCCCCAGCTATGATGAACTGTGAGTCAATTAAACCTCTTTCCTTTATAAATTACCCAAGCTTGGTTATGTCTTTATTAGCAGCATGAGAATGGACTGATACAGTAAATTGGTACTGAGGTAGTGGGGCATTGCGATAAGGATATCTAAAAATGTGGAAGTGAATTTGGAACTGGGTAACAGGAAGAGGTTGAACAGTTTGCAGGGTTCGGAAGAAGACAGAAAAATGTGAGGAAGTTTGGAACTTCCTAGAGACTTGCAGAATGGTTTTGAGGAAAATGCTGATAGTGATATGGACAATGAAGTCCAGGCTGAGGTGGTCTCATATGGAGATGAAGAACTCGTTGGGAACTGGAGTAAAGGTGACTCTTTCCATGCAAAGAGACTGATGGCATTTTGCCCCTGCCCTAGAAATCTGTGGAACTTTAAACTTGAGAGACATAGTTTAGGGTATCTGGCAGAAGAAATTCCTAAGTAGCAAAGTGTTCAAGAGGAAGCAAAGCATAAAAGTTTTAAAAATTTTGCAGCTTGATGATGAGATAGAAAAGGAAAACCCATTTTCTGGAGAGAAATTCAAGTCAGCTGCAGAAATTTGCATAAGTAAAGAGGAGCTGAATGTTAATCACCAAGACAATGGGAAAATGTCTTCAGGGCATGTCAGAGACCTTCAAGGCAACTCAAACCATCACAGGCCAGGAGGCCTAGGAGGAAAAAAATGGTTTCATGGGCCCAGTGCAGGGACTTGCTGCTCTGTGCAGTCTCAGGACTTGGTGCCCTGTGTCCCAATCATGGCTAAAGGGCCAATGTACAGCTCAGGCCATGGCTTCAAAGGGTAAAGGCCCCAAGCCTTGGCAGCTTACATGAGGCGTCGGGCCTGTGGGTGCACAGAAGTCAAGAATTGAGGTTTGGGAACCTACACCTAAATTTCAGAGGATGCATGGAAACGCCTGGGTGTTCAGGCACAAATTTGTGATGGGGACGGAGCCCTCATAGGGAACCTCTGCTAGGGCAGTGACTGCAGAAGGGAAATGTGGGGTCAGAGCCCCCACACAGTCCCCACTGGGGCACTGCCTAGTGGAGCTGAGAGAAGAGGGCCACCATCCTCCAGACTCCAGAATGGTGGACACACTGACAGCTTGCACCGTATTGCCTGGAAAAGCCACAGACACTCAGCACCAGCCTGTGAAAGCAGCCAGGAGGAGGGCTGTACCCTGCAAATCAACAGGGGTGGAGCTGCCCAAGGCCATGAGAGCCCACCTCTTGCTTCAGTGTGACCTGGATGTGAGACACGAAGTCAAAGGAAACCATTACAGAGCTTCAAGATTTGACTGACCCATTGAATTTTGGACTTGCATGGGGCCTGCAGTCCCTTCATTTTGGCCAATTTCTCCCATTTGGAACAGGTGTATTTACCCAATGCCTATATCCTCATTGTATCTATGAAGTAACTAACTTGATTTTGATTTTACAGGCTCATAGGAAGAAGGGCCTTGCCTTGTCTAAGATAAGACTTTGGACTTGGACATTTTGGTTAATGCTGGAATGAGCTAAGACTTTGGGGGACTGTTAGAAAGGCATGATCATGTTTTAAAATGTAAGGACATGAGATTTGGAAGGGGCTGGGAGCAGAATGATATGGTTTGGCTGTGTTCCCACCCAAATCTCACCTTGAATTGTAGTTTCCATAATCCCTACATGTTGTGGGAGTAACCCAGTTGGAGGTAATTGAATCATGGGGGTGGTTACCCCATGCTGGTCTCATGACAGTGAGTGATACCTGAAGGTTTTATAAGGGGCTTTTCCCCTTTTGCTCAGCACCTCCTGCTGCCTTGTGAACAAGGTGACTTGATTCTTGTTTGCATTCACCATGATTCTAAGTTTTCTGAAGCCTTCCCAGCCATGCTGAACTGTGAGTCAATTAAACCTCTTGCTTTAATAAGTTACCCAGGCTCGTGTATGTCTTTATTGGGAGTATGAGAATTAACCAATTCACTCTGTCTCTATTAAAAAAAAGAATTTAGACCTTAGGAATTTTGATCTTTCGGGATTTCAACATTCAGGGTTATGGTGTTTGTGACTGGGTCTTCTGGGATTATGATCCTCACCTAGATTAACAGCCTCGCAGCTCTCTTCAAACTATGACCCTATTCTCCCACTACCTCCTGAGTTCAGCCTCTTTCTTCAACTTGGCTAAGCCTGCCTTTCTTTTCCTATCTGTCTGCTTTCTTCCCTCTGATTGATCCAAAGTAAAATTTGACTTTTTTTTTCATTCCAACAACTCCATCTTCTATCACATATCTCCTTTCATGAAGTTGGCCCCTGATAATGTTTCTGTTGACAACAGTATAATATAGACAATATTGCATATAGTTAAAGTATGTATTTTATTTATTTGGTGGCAGCATTCTAATAAGAAATTAAAACTATTTCTTTTAAAATCATAATTTAATCACCAGGCAGAGCTAGTAAAGAGAAATAAGTTCCAGAATCTCACATCTGTCAAAAGTAAATGCTGATTTTTATTGAGGACTTCCTTATTTCTGCCGCCAGTTGACTCTCATACAGCTTGTTCCCAGTAGAATCTAGTGTGGAATTGGCAAATGGGGTGTCATACATGCAGCACTCTACTGGAGCTGATAATTAAGTACCCAGAAATTTTTTGAAGTGTTTGTCAAACCATCAGTAGAAATATTTACACAATGGAAATCAGCAAATGCTACAAATCTGGGCTTCTCCCCACCCAACCAATAGGTTTACTAGCATACAACTTTTATTCATCCTGTAAACGTTCAGAATTTCTATAAATATTCATAGACTCTCCTATACTCAGTGTCTCAGAATAACTCAAAGTTCTAACAATAGCCAGTGAGGCTGAGTGTGAGTTGACCCACCCCAGTCCCTCTCTCTGACCTGTCTCCTGTTAGCCTTCTGACTCCCAGTGTTCTCTACTTCATGCACATGGGCTACGCACCCTGCTGTTTGCCTGCCTTTTCTTCCTCGAGTGCTCTTCCCCCGATATCTGCATAGCTGGTGCCCTCACCTCCTTGGAATCTTTGTTCAAATGTTATCTTCTCTGTGAGACCTTCTATATAAGTTTTCTATGACTGCTGGAATAAATTAGCACACCTCTAGTAGCCTAAGGGAACACAAACTCTCTCTAGGGGAGAGAGAACACTTTCTTACCTTCTCCAGCTTTGAAAGGATGCCTGCATCCTTTGGCGCCGGCCCTCTTCCAGGCAGCAACCACATCATTCTGAACCTAGCTGTCATGCGTCTTGCCTGAGACTCTCCTGCCTCCCTCTTTTGCTTTTAAGTACTCTTGTGATGACATTGGGCCAACCTGGGTAATCCAGAATAATCTCCTCATCTCATGATCCATAACTTCGTCACATCCACAGGTCCTTTTTGCCATATAGGGATATGGACATGTAGAAAGGCCATTCTTCTGCCTATTACTCCCTCCTTGAGCATTCTAACTACCTTCACATCTACCCGCTCCCAGCATTCCTGAGCTCCCTTCCACACTTAATTTTTCTCTGTGCCACTTATTACCTTCTGACATATTATATATTTTCCATAGTTATTTTATTAATGAACTGTCTTTTCTCACTGGAATGTAATTTGCATGAGGGTAAACATTTTTGTTTTAAATCATTGCCATATTTTCATTATGTTGAACAGTGCCTTGCTCTTAGTAAAGATTCAAGAAATATATAAGTTTTGGCTGAATAAATTAGGTTGAGAAGTTTGGGGGAAAATCCTGGCATGATACAGAAGATGGTTCCCAGTGATGGGAAAGGGCCATGTGGTGGGGCCTCTACAGGAAGCTGGGATGCTCCAGAGGTCCCCCAGGGCAGAGTTGCTTTGCTCACGTTGAACTCTTTGCCCAAGCTCTGATTTCTAATGTTTTCTTTCATATTTGTTTTTGCTCTGCCTTTTTTTAATTAATTTTTTTATAGAGATGAGGTTTTACTATATTTCTCAGGCTGGTATCAAACTCATGAGCTCAAGCAATCTTCCCACCTTGGCCTCCCAAAGTGTTATTACTGCAGGTGCAAGCCACCACACACGGCCTGCTTTTGCTCTTTCTTTGAAATATACCCAAAATGTTTATATTGGTTTCTAACTATAGATCATGAACTCCTGAAGCAAAGTAACCACTTTGTTCTTCATTATTTCTTTCACTCTTCTACTCTGCGCGGTGCCAGATATTGGATATGTAGGTGCCTAACCTTTGCTTTTCTGATTTCTTACATTTTATTTCTTAAAAATCAGCCTAACCACGTTGTAGAGAGGGATGATTTCCTTCCTTTGTTTTGAAAATTTGTGCATGCCCAATGCTTACATTGTGCGGTTTAATGTTGCTTCAGCTTTTTTTTTTTTTTTTTCTATTTTTGCCAGACTTCCGAAACTGTTAAAACTTGTTTGTGGTCAGCACAGCAAGGAACATGCTTTAGCTTTGAAAAAATCTTTGACATGAAAAAATGCAGTGACATTGTTTTTAATGTAACATAGGCTAGAATTTTTCTATGCTTGCACATGCTGAGAATTGTCCCACCCAGCTGATGTGTTCACCTCTTCAGCTTGGATCCTGTTGTGTATTTATTTACAAACATCAATTGCCTTCAAGCCATCATTTCTGCTGTATGTTTTGCAGCCTTCTATAGTAGATACACAACAGATAATGTGGAGAGAAAAGACATAAGAGGAGGAAGGTAATGAGAGACTTTGTCAAGGTTGTAAACTTCTTGGTTTCTTTGAAGAATTTGTTGCCTTTCTAATAAGACAGTAAAGCAGAATTTTGTTACTGACAGCCTAAAACCACTTAATCTCAGGTGAATGCATCACTTCCCAAGCTGTTGGAATGCTATTTGTGTTTTGTTGCACAATTTTTTGGTTGTTTATCTGGTTGGCTTTTTGGAAGACAAATTTGGAAAGGGGACCTACACAGAAGAGCTGACCCACCCACATTCCCTTATTATCATTACAGACAAGAAGGAACTAGCAGAGCTAAGAATGGAGTGAAGAAAGGCAGTGTGATAAGCACCAGCAAAGAGTCGAGAGCTGTTGCTTTCTAAATTATTATTTGATTATTTTAAAAGTATGGAAGTTTTCTAGTCACTGAAGAAAGGAGGGGAAAGTGCCCTTATTTTTATATGGAGTTACTTAACTACCACCTAAACACATATGTGGAAATTGTTTTTGCTGGTGCAAAGTATTTTAATTAGCAAGAATTCATATATTGAGATTATAATTAGAGAGCTCAATTTATATATTTGCTATCCTGCTCAAGCCTGACATGGCAAAAAAAAAAAAAATTAAAAGAAAACCAAGTTCACTCCAAAATATATAGCTTCAAAATAAAAAAACACTGGAAAGTTTGCTGTGATAACTATTTTGTACTTTTGTACAAAAAACCTAAAGAACAAATTACCTGAAGAACAATTTGCTAAACATGAGAAATTGCTCCCTTTGAATATATACAGATAAGATAGGAAGAGTGTTCAGACCAGAATATTATAGTTTATATTGAAGATAATATTCAGTTGACTCATAACTAGTAACCAGCATTCATGATAACATTTCAGCATTTCCAAGGTGCCAAGTGTACTGATTTTTAAAAATATATTTTAGAAGGAATTTAGAACTGGTGTTTTTAATGAAAACCATCATCTCTGATGTTGCAACATGTATGTGAAATGGGTGTTACATATATCCTGCCCTTTAACTCCACCGTTAACAAAGTGGCTGAAAATAACAGTAAGAAAAAATCAGTCTAAGGGAGAAAGCCACTAATGCTCTCAATTCTCTCTCTCTCTCTCTCTGTGTGTGTGTGTGTGTGTTAAGGGGGATGTTGGAAGGTGGTCTTAACTCTTGAAATAAAACTTCTTTGTATAGGAAGCATATTTCGGTTTAGGTACAACGATAAGAAAGTTTAATTTTTTAATCCATAAGACCAGATATCTTCAGAAGTGACTTTTCCTGTGGGATTTCTATGACTGATATTCTGACTAGTGTGAAATGACAGCTTTGGATGTCTGTATCTACACCCATCAAAACCTCAGAGCTTCATGCACTGCTATAACTTTTCTGTTAACTCTGGGTAAATTCGGAGGTTGGTACAAGGAATAATTTTAACTTCAGATTTTACAGCTTGTTTATGTTAAGGGCAGAAAGATCTACTTTTCAATGGTCTGTATTTTAAGATATTGACTTTTCCTGGTGCTATTTTATGATTATGGAGAAAATAGAATTCTTATTAGAAATCTCAACTCCGAATTGAGAAAAGATGTTTTGATACTTGTCCTGCTGTGGCCTGAGACTTAGAATCATGAATTAAAAGAGACCTTGCTGTTTATCTACAGATTAGAACACACAAATAAACATCAGTGTAACATCCTCATTAGCATTCTGGTAGTTACATTTACTTATTCCAGAGCAAAATTAATATAAGAAGCAGAATATTTTCTGTTGTTATCTAGGGTATTAAGACAACAACCTTCCTTAGAAAAGAAACAGTGTATTATGAGGACAGTGGATCCTACAACGTTATTTGCCTTCAAGGCATTGCAAACAACTGGAATCAATTGAATAATCTTCTCAAGCACAAGCCAACAGTGAAATGAGAGTCATTTATCTGAAACAGCAGGCAAGAGCTTCATTGGTACACTCGGAAGGTGGCTCACTAACCCTGCCGAAGTTTTGCTTCATCTGATCAGGGCATAAATGTTTCATTGGCCCAATAACCAAGGTCTTAGAGTTTCACAGTATTTTCTCTCCAATAGCTAATACAGGGAACATTGCTGATATTCTGCCCATGGTTGCCAAGGCTGAAATCAAACGTGCCTTGAATAATACTATAAAAACTTTGAAATCAATCTTTGCTGTAGGAGCCAATGTTCAACTGTGGGCTCTATACAAAGCCGCTTAAGGTGGGAGGGAGCAAACTTTTCAAGTTGGTTTTAGGTAACAGAAACAGATGTCTTTATTGGATTTGTCTGGAAAAAAAAGTAAGGAAAATCCCAACATTATCTGTTCTGGTCAAGAATTATAAGGCTCAGTCCCATTTTATTTCTGTCCTCTTTTGGATCCTTTTTCCTTATTCTTGACTCTATACATGGAGAAAAAGTTCAAGTGCATCTAAAGCAGTAATGCTGGGAACTTGCCAACTTATTCCCATGATGCTACTGTTGCTTATAAAACATTTTGAGGATTCTTGTATTCAGAGATAGTGATAAGCCACAAGAGGAAGTCAGTCTTGCTGATGTACAGCTGCATTTTGGGCTCATGTATAGAAGAGGTAACATGGATTTCAGAGTCTCCGAGGTGTTTGAAATCCAGGGTCTGCTCTCAGGACCTGTGAGGTCTTCGATAAGTTGCTCAATCTCTTTGAGCCTCAGTTTTCTGAGTACAATGGCACATAACTCACAGGACTGCGGTGTGGATGAATTGCGATGATGTGTATGAACCCAGCTCAGGGTCTTCTTTCCTTCCTTCTTTCTTCCCTGCCTCTGAATTTACACCAAGCTGTACTTCTGAGGTCTGACTCCTGAGAGGCTAGACACACAGTGAAGCTTGATGCTTGCTAGAAACTGAGGGGCTAGACTTGAGTGTTAGGGAACCTGGGAATGACATCTGTCATTCATCCGGGAAGGCCGAGGAGGAAAGCGAGGCAGGGCAGCAGAGCAGGAGGTGGTGCCCATAGAGGCCACTTTTGGACTGGAGCCTGCTGAAGACACTTTAGTGCTGAGTCATTTGGGGCCCAAGGTAGGGGCAGATAGAAGAGAAGGAGGGCAATTATCACCTAGTCACAGGGGCAGATAGAAGAGAAGGAGGGTAGTTATCACCTAGTCACAGGGGCAGATAGAAGAGAAGGATGGCAGTTATCGCCTAGTCACAGGAGCAGATAGAAGAGAAGGATGGCAGTTATCACCTAGTCACATGGGCAGATAGAAGAGAAGGACGGCAGTTACTGTCTAGTCAGGAATTAAAAAAATATCTATTTCCTTTCATACCTCGTTTCATCCCTTCCATCCCAGTCAAATTCACAGGTAATTAAACTTCCTCCTGCATCTCGGAGCAGTCCTCTGCATCATCATTTCTCCTCTGCAAGTGTATCTTCTTCGGGCATGTCGGAAGGTCTTAGTGAACCTGCGGTATTTAGGGACTGGATCCTCTTTCCTCTTTATTGTCAAAGTTGTGGCTTGCAGAGGTCAGGACAGAGTATGATTATGAAATGTTAGCAATCGTCACCTCTCATTTTTAAGTAAATATACTTTTATGCAGTTTGAGCTTTCATTCATGTCATTTATTAATTTGTTCATTCGTTAACACATTCATTTGTGGAGCATTTGGCCTATAAAAGTGAAGAAACCCCTCCTTAGCATTAAGGGAGGAGAGGAAACAAAATGCACAGAGACACATGCTTTGTTTTGTATAACTTTGAAAGTTTCTAAAATAAAATAAGGTCTAACTTGGAAAACCAAAACCTATCACTGAGATATTTTCATAATCTAAAAAGTCAGTTTCAAAAGAACTTCCAAAATGTTTTAAAAAATGATTATCCTGGAGGAGCCAAGATGGCCGAATAGGAACAGCTCCTGTCTACAGCTCCCAGCATGAGCGACGCAGAAGACAGGTGATTTCAGCATTTCCATCTGAGGTACCAGGTTCATCTCACTAGGGAGTGCCAGACAGTGGGCGCAGGTCTGTGGGAGCATGCACCTTGCGCAAGCCAAAGCAGGGTGAGGCATTGCCTCACCCGGGAAGCACAAGGGGTCAGGGAGTTCCCTTTCCTAGTCAAAGAAAGGGGTGACGGACGGCACCTGGAAAATCGGGTCACTCCCACCCGAATACTGTGCTTTTCCAACTGGCTTAAAACACGGTGCACCACGAGATTATATCCTGCACCTGGCTCGGAGGGTCCTATGCCCACAGAGTCTCGCTGATTACTAGCACAACAGTCTGAGATCAAACTGCAAGGCGGCAGCGAGGCTGGGGGAGGGGTGCCAACCATTGCCCAGGCTTGATTAGGTAAACAAAACAGCCAGGAAGCTCGAATTGGGTGGAGCCCACCACAGCTCAAGGAGGCCTGCCTGACTTTGTAGGCTCCACCTCTGGGGGCAGGGCACAGATAAACAAAAAGACATCAGTAACCTCTGCAGACTTAAATGTCCCTGTCTGACAGCTTTGAAGAGAGCAGTGGTTCTCCCAGCACGCAGCTGGAGATCTGAGAATGGGCAGACTGCCTTCTCAAGTGGGTCCCTGATCCCTGACCCCCGAGCAACCTAACTGGGAGGCAACCCCAGCAGGGGCACACTGATACCTCACACGGCAGGGTATTCCAACAGACCTGCAGCTGAGGGTCCAGTCTGTTAGAAGGAAAACTAACAAACAGAAAGGACATCCACACCAAAAACCCATCTGTACATCACCATCATCAAAGACCAAAAGTAGATAAAACCACAAAGATGGGGAGAAAACAGAACAGAAAAGTTGGAAACTCTAAAAAACAGAGCGCCTCTCCTCCTCCAAAGGAACGCAGTTCCTCACCAGCAACGGAACAAAGCTGGATGGAGAATGACTTTGAGGAGCTGAGAGAAGAAGGCTTCACACGATCAAATTACTCTGAGCTATGGGAGGACATTCAAATCAAAGGCAAAGAAGTTGAAAACTTTGAAAAAAATTTAGAAGAATGTATAACTAGAATCACCAATACAGAGAAGTGCTTAAAGGAGCTGATGGAGCTGAAAACCAAGGCTCGAGAACTACGTGAAGAATGCAGAAGCCCCAGGAGCCGATGCGATCAACTGGAAGAAAGCGTATCAGCAATGGAAGATGAAATGAATGAAATGAAGCAAGAAGGGAAGTTTACAGAAAAAAGAATAGAAAGAAATGAGCAAAGCCTCCAAGAAATATGGGACTATGTGAAAACACCAAATCTACGTCTGATTGGTGTACCTGAAAGTGATGGGGAGAATGGAACCAAGTTGGAAAACACGCTGCAGGATATTAACCAGGAGAACTTCGCCAATCTAGCAAGGCAGGCCAACGTTCAGATTCAGGAAATACAGAGAACGCCACAAAGATACTCCCCGAGAAGAGCAACTCCAAGACATGTAATTGTCAGATTCACCAAAGTTGAAATGAAGGAAAAAATGTTAAGGGCAGCCAGAGACAAAGGTCGGGTTACCCTCAAAGGGAAGCCCATCAGACTAACAGCGGATCTCTCGGCAGAAACCCAACAAGCCAGAAGAGAGTGGGGGCCAATATTCAACATTCTTAAAGAAAAGAATTTTCAACCCAGAATTTCATATCCAGCCAAACTAAGCTTCATAAGCAAAGGAGAAATAAAATACTATACAGACAAGCAAATGCTGAGAGATTTTGTCACCACCAGGCCTGCCCTAAAAGAGCTCCTGAAGGAAGTGCTAAATATGGAAAGAAACAACTGGTACCAGCCACTGCAAAATCATGCCAAAATATAAAGACCATCGAGACTAGGAAGAAACTGCATCAACTAACGAGCAAAATCACCAGCTAACATCATAATGACAGGATCAAATTCACACATAACAATATTAACTTTAAACGTAAATGGACTAAATGCTCCAATTAAAAGACACAGACTGGAAAAATGGATAAAGAGTCAAGACCCATCAGTGTGCTGTATTCAGGAAACCCATCTCACGTGCAGAGACACAAATAGGCTCAAAATAAAAGGATGGAGGAAGATCTACCAAGAAAATGGAAAACAAAAGAAGGCAGAGGTTACAATCCTAGTCTCTGATAAAACAGACTTTAAACCAACAAAGATCAAAAGAGACAAAGAAGGCCATTACATAATAGTAAAGGGATCAATTCAACAAGAAGAGCCAACTATCCTAAATATATATGCACCCAATACAAGAGCACCAGGATTCATATAGCAAGTCCTGAGTGACCTACAAAGAGACTTAGACTCCCACACATTAATAATGGGAGACTTTAACACCACACTGTCAACATTAGACAGATCAACGAGACAGAAAGTCAACAAGGATACCCAGGAATTGAACTCAGCTCTGCACCAAGCGGACCTAATAGACATCTACAGAACTCTCCACCCCAAATCAACAGAATATACATTTTTTTCAGCACCACACCACACCTATTCCAAAATTGACCACATACTTGGAAGTAAAGCTCTCCTCAGCAAATGTAAAAGAACAGACTTTATAACAAACTATCTCTCAGACCACAGTGCAATCAAACTAGAACTCAGGATTAAGAATCTCACTCAAAACCACTCAACTACATGGAAACTGAACAACCTGCTCCTGAATGACTACTGGGTACATAACGAAATGAAGGCAGAAATAAAGATGTTCTTTGAAACCAACGAGAACAAAGACACAACATACCAGAATCTCTGGGACACATTTAAAGCAGTGTGTAGAGGGAAATTTATAGCACTAAATGCCCACAAGAGAATGCAGGAAAGATCCAAGATTGACACCCTAACATCACAATTAAAAGAACTAGAGAAGCAAGAGCAAACACATTCAAAAGCTAGCAGAAGGCAAGAAATAACTAAAATCAGAGCAGAACTGAAGGAAATAGAGACACAAAATTTGTCCCCATTAGGGAGGGACAAACTTTCAAACAACAGCGAGAGTGTTGTGAAATCCTCTGTTATGGACAAACATTCAGACCCTTGTCCCTGTTTTCTGGAAATCTACGTGAGGGAGAAACACTCAGAACCCAGCAGCAGTGTTCTGGAATCCTATGTGACAGAGAGACGTTTAGACAACAGCAGCAGCGTTCTGGAATCCTATGTGAAGGGACAAACATTCAGACCCTCGTAGCAGTGTTCTGGAATGCTATGTGAGGGATAAACTTTCAGACCATAGCAGAAGTTTTCTGGAAACCTATGTGAGCAACAAATATTCAGACAATCATAGCAGTGTTCTGGAATCCCATGTGAGGAACAAACATTCAGACCCTCATAGCAGTGTTCTGTAGTGCTGTGTGAGGGACAAACATTCAGACAATCGTATCAGGGTTCTGGAATCCTATGTAAAGTCCAACATTCAGACCCCAGCAGCAGTGTTCAGGAATCCTATGTGAGGGACAAACAATCAGACCACAGCAGGTGTGCTCTGGAATCCTTTGTGAGGAACAAGCATTTAGACCCTTGTAGCACTGTTCTGGAATCCTATGTGAGGGACAAACATTCAGACCCCAGCAGCAGTGTTCTGGAATCCTATCTGAGGGACAAACTTTCAGACATTTTTAGCTGTGTTGTGGAAACCTGTGTGAGGAACAAACATTCAAACAACAGCAGGAGTGTTCTGGAATCCTATGATACGAAAAAACATTCAGTCCCTCGTCACACTCGTCTGGAATTCTATGTGAGGGAGCAAAATGCAGAATCTAGCAGCAGTGTTCGGGAATCCTATGTGATGGGAATACATGTAGACCCCATCAGCATGTTCTGGAATCCTATCTGAGGGACAATAATTTGGACCCCAGCAGCAGTGTTCTGGAACCCTATGGTAGGGTAATTATTCAGACCCTCATAGCAGTGTTGGGGAATTCTGTGTGAGAGACAAACATTCAGACCCTCATAGCAGTGTTCTGGAATTCTATGTGAGGGATAAACATTCATACCAGAGCAGGAGTGTTCTGGAATCCCCAACGAAGAACAAACATTCAAACCCTCATAGCAGTATTCTGGAATCCTATGTGAGGGACAAACATTCAGACCCTCATGTTAGTGTTCTGGAATCCTATGTGAGTGACAAACATTCAAACAACAGCGGGAATGTTCTGGAATCCTGTGTTATGGACAAACATTCAGAACCTCGTTGTAGTGTTCTGGAATTCTGCATGAGGGAGAAACTCTCAGAACCCAGCAGCAGTGTTCTGGAATCCTATGTGATAGACATACATGTAGACACCAGCAGCAGTGTTCTGGAATCTTATGTGAAGGACAAACATTCAGAAACCAGCAGCAATGTTCTGGAATCCTATGTGAGGGAAAGTCATTCAGACCCTAGTAGCAGTGTTCTGGAATTCTGCTTGAGTGACAGTCGTTCAGACCATCATAGCAGTGTTCTGCAATCCTGTGTGAGGGACAAACATTCAGACACATCGGGAGTGATCTGGAATCCCCTGTGAGGAACAAACTTTCAGACCCTCGTGACACTGTCCTGGAATCCTATGTGACGGACAAACATTTCCACCCCACCAGCTGTGTTCTGTAATTCTATGTGAGGGACAAACATTCAGAACCTCGAAGCAGTGTTCTGGAATCCAATGTGAGGGACAAACGCTCATACAATCGCAGTATTGTTCTGGAATCCTGTGAGGGAAAAACAATCAAACAACAGCAGCTGTGTTCTGGAAACCTATATTATGGACAAACATTCAGACACTCGTCACAGTGTTCTGGGACCCTGTATTGGAGACAAACATTTAGACAATCATAGCAGTGTTCTAGAATCTTTTGTAAGGGACAAACATTCAGACCCCAGCAGCAGTGTTCTGGAATCCTGTGTGATGGACAAACATTCAAACAACAGCAAGAGTGTTTTGGAATCCAATGTTATGGACAAAGTTTCAGAAACTCGTCGCAGTGTTCTGGAATTC
>NC_000009.12:64185013-64215162 GCF_000001405.40 Homo sapiens
AGGAGCAGTTTAGAACCACTGTTTTTGTAGAATCTGCAAAGGGATATTTGGGAGCCCTTTGAGGCCTATGGTGAAAATGTAAATATCTTCATATAATAACTAGAAAGAAGCTTTATGTTAAACTTCCTTGTGATGTGTGAATTCATCTCACAGGGTTAGAATTTTCTTTTCATTCAGCAATTTGGAAACACTGTTTTTGTAGAATCTGTGAAGGGATATTTAGGAGTGCATTGAGGCCTATGGTGAAAAAGTAAACATCTTCAAATAATAATTAGACAGAAGCTTTATGGTAAACCGATTTGTGATGTCTGCTTTCATCACACAGAGTAAAAATTTCTTTTGTTTCAACAGTTTGTAAACACTGCTTTGTCCAATCTGTGAATGGACATTTGGGAGCTCTTTGAGATGAATGGAGGAAAAGTGAATATCCCAGGAAAAAAACTACATGGAAGTAATCTGAGAAACTGATTTGTGATGTATGCATTCATCTCGCATATTTAAACCTTTCTTTTCATTCAGCAGTTTGCAAAACCTTTTTTGTAAAATCTGCAAAGGGATATTTGGGAGACCTTTGAGTCCTACAGTGAAAAAGTCAATATCTTCACATAAAAACCAGAAAGAAGCTTTCTGAGAGACAGCTTTGTGATTTGTGCATTCATCTCACAGAGTTAAACATTTCTTTTGATTCAACAGTTTTGAAACACTATTTTTGTCCATTCTGTGAAGGTATATTTGGTAGCCCATTGAGGCCTATGGTGAAAAAGGAAATATCTTCAAACCATAACTAGATAGAAGCTTTCTGAGGAACTGCTTTGTGATGTGTGTTTTCATCTCACAGAGATAAAGATTCTTTTGTTTCAATAGTTTGGAAACATTGTTTTTGTCCATTCTACCAATGTCCATTTTGGAGATGATTGACTCCAAGGAAAAAAAGTGAATATCCCAGGATAAAAAAGTCAAGGAAGCCAGGTGAGAAACCGCTATGTGATGTATGCATTCATCTTGAGAGTTAAACCTTCCTTTTCATTCAGCTGTTTGGAAACACTGTTTTTGTAGAATCTTGGAAGTGATATTTGGGAGTGCAAGGAGACCTATGGTGAAAAAGAAAATATCTTAAGATAAAAACTAGAAATAAGCTTTCTGAGAAACCGTTCTGTGATGGGTGCATTCATCTCACAGAGGTAAACCTTTCTTTCGATCCAGCACTTTGGAAACACTGATTTTGCAGAATCTGCGAAGGGATATTTTGGAGCGCATTGAGGCCTGCTGTGAAAAAGGAAATATCTTCAAATAAAAACTAGAGAGAAGCTTTCAGAGAAACTGTTTTGTGATGTGTGCATTCATCTCACAGAGATATTCTTTTCTTTTGTTTCAACAATTTTGAAACACTGTTTTTGTCCATTCTGCAATGGGATATTTGGGAGCTATTGAGGCCTATGGTGAAAAAGAAAATATTTTCAGAGAAAAACTAGAACAAGCTTGCTGAGAAACTGCTTTCTGATGTGTGCATTCATCTCCAGAGTTAAATCTTGCTTTTCATTCAGCAGTTTGGAAACACGGTTTTTGTAGATTATGCCATGGGATATCTGGGAGCACATTGAGACCTATGGTGTAGAAGAAAATATCTTAAAACTAGTATGAAGCTTTCTGAGAAACTGTTCTGTGATGTGTGCAATCACCTCACAGTGGTAAATCTCTCTTTTCTAATAGCCATTTGGAAACAGTTTTTGCGGAATCTGTGAAGGGGCATAAGGGATCCCATTGAGTCCTATGAAGAAAAAGTAAATGTCTTCATATAAAATCTTGAAGGAAGCTCTATGACAAACTGCTTTGTGATGTGTGCATTCATCTCACAGAGTTAATTCTTTTTTTGTTTCAAGAGTTTTGTAACACTGTTTTTGTTCATTCTGTGAAGGGATATTTGGGAGCACTTTGAGGTCTATGGTGAAAAAGAAAATATCTTCAAATAAAAACTAGACAGAAGCTTTCTGAGAAACTGCTTCATGATTTGTGCATTCGTCTCACAGAGTTAATCCTTTCTTTTTATTCAACAGCTTTGAAACACTGTTTTTCTCCATTCTGCAAAGGGATATTTGGGAGTTTATTGAGGCATGTGGTGAAAAAGAAAATATCTTCAAATAAAAACTAGAAAGAAGCTTTCTGAGAAACTGCTTTGAGATGTGTGCATTCATCTCTCAGAGTTAAACTTTTCTTTTTCATTCAACACTTTGGAAACACTGTTTTTGTAGAATCTGTGAAGGAATATTTGGGAGTGCTTTGAGATCCATGGTGTAGAAGAAAATATCTTAAGATAAAAAGTAGAAAGAAGCTTTTTGAGAAACTGCTCTGTGATTGATGTATTCACCTCTCAGAGTTAAATCTTTCTGTTGATCCAGTAGCTTGGAAACATTTTTTCTCCATTCTGCGAAGGGATATTTGGGAGCCCATTAAGGCCTGTGGTGAAAAAAAAGTCTTCAAATAAAACTAGAAAGAAGCTTTCTGAGAAACTGTTTTGAGAGGTGTGCATTCATCTCACAGAGCTAAACCTTTCTTTTTCATTGAACACTTTGGAAACACTGTTTTTGTAGAATCTGTGAAGGGATATTTGGGAGTGCATTGTGACCTATGGTGTAGAAGAGAATATCTTAAAATAAAAAGTAGAAATAAGCTTTCTGAGAAACAATTCTGTGATGGGTGCATTCATCTCACAGAGTTAAACCTTTCTTTTGATCCTGCAGTTTGGAAAAACTGTTTTTGTAGAATCTGCAAAGGGATATTTCAGAGCACATTGAGGCCTATGGTGAAAAAGGAAATATCTTCAAATAATAACTACCAAGAAGCTTTCTAAGAAACTTCTTTGTGATGTGTGCTTTCATCTCACA
Source organism: Homo sapiens (assembly GCF_000001405.40). Classification (NCBI taxonomy): domain Eukaryota; kingdom Metazoa; phylum Chordata; class Mammalia; order Primates; family Hominidae; genus Homo; species Homo sapiens. Next base: position 64,187,896 of record NC_000009.12, read on the forward strand.
GAGTGAAAACTTTTTTTGTTTGGAAACACTGTTTTCGTCCATTCTGTGAATGGACATTTGGGAGCTCATTGAGGCCAATGGAGGACAAGTGAATATCCCAAGATAAAAACTACAAGTAAGGTATCTGAGAAACTGATTTGTGATGTGTGCATTCATCTTGCAGAGTTAAACCATTCTTTCCATTCAGCAGTTTGGAAAACCTGTTTTTGTAGACCTTGAGAGGGCGTATGTTGGAGCCCATTGAGTCCTATGGTGAAAAAGTAAATATCTTCATATAAAAACTAGAATAAGGCTTTCTGAGAAACTGCTTTGCAATGTGTGCATTCATCTCACAGAGTTAAACCTTTATTTTCATTCAGCAGTTTGGAAAACTGTTTTTGTAGAATCTGCAAAAGGAGATTTCGGAAAGCATTGAGGTCTATGTTGAAAAAGGAAATATCTTCAAATAATAACTAGACAGAAGCTTTCTGAGAAACTGCTTTTTGATATGTTCTTTCATCTCACAGTGTTAAAACCTTCTTTTGTTTCAAATGTTTGTAAACACTGTCCTTGTCCATTCTGCCAATGGCTATTTTGGTGATCATTGAGGCCAATGGAGCAAAAGTGAATATCTTGGGATAAAAACTTCAAGGAAGCTATGTGAGAAACTGCTTTGTGATGTGTCCATTCATCTCACAGTGTTGAAACTTTCTTTTCATTCAATAGTTTGGAAACACTGCTTTTGTCCATCGTGTGAGGGAATATTTGGGACTGCATTGAGATCTATGATGAAAAAGTACATATTTTCATATAAAAACTAGAAAGAAGCTTTCTGAGAAACTGCTTTGTGATGTGTACATTTATCTCACAGAGTTAACACTTTCTTTTGATTCAACAGTTTTGAAACACTGTTTTTGTCCATTCTGCAAAGGAATATTTGGGAGTGCATTGAGGCCTATGGTGAAATAGAAAATATCTTGAGATAAAAGCTAGAAAGAAGCTTTCTGAGAAACTGCTTTGTGATGTGTAGTTTCATCTCACAGAGTTAAACGTTTCTTTTCATTCAGTAGTTTGGAAACACTGTTTTTGTCCATTCTGTGAATGGACATTTTGGACCTCATTGAGGCCAATGGAGAAAATGTGAATATCCTAGGATAAAAACATCAAGGAAGCTATCTAAGAAATCAGTTTGTGGTATGTGCATTCATCTCACAGAGTTAAACCTTTCCTTACATTCAGCAGTTTGGAAACACTCTTTTGAGTAATCTGCAAAGGGATATTTTGTAGTGCGTTGAGACCTATTGTGTAGAAGAAAATATTTTAAGATAAAAAGTAGAAAGAAGCTTTCTGAGAAACTATTCCATGATGTGTGCATTCACCTTACAGAGTTAAACCTTTCTTTTGATCCTGCAGTTTGGAAACACTGTTTTTGTAGAATCTGCAAAGGGATATTTCGGAGCACATTGAGGCCTATGGTGAAAAAAGAAATATCTTCAAACCATAACTAGACAGAAGCTTTCTGAGAAACTGCTTTGTGATGTGTGTTTTCATCTCACAGGGTTAAAATTTTCTTCAGTTTCACCAGTTTGGAAACACTGTTTTTGTCCATTCTGTGAATGGACATTTGGGAGCTCATTGAAGCCAATGGAGGAAAAGCAAATATCCCAGGATAAAAACTACAAGGAAGCTAACTGAGAAACTACTTTGTGATGTGTGCCTTTATCTAGCAGAGTTAAACCTTTCTTTCCATTCAGCAGTTTGGAAACACTGTTTTCGTAGAATCTATGAAGGGATATTTGGGAGCCATTTGAGGCCTACGGTGAAAATGTAAATATCTTCATATAAAAACTAGAAAGAAGCTCTCTGATAAACTTCTATGTGATGTATGCATTCATCCCCCAGAGTTAAACCTTACTTTTGATCCAGCAGTTTGGTAACCCTGTTTTTGTAGATTCTGTGAAGGGATATTTTGGAGTGCATTGAGACTTAGGCTGAAAAAGGAAATATCTTCAAATAATAACTAGACAGAAACTTTCTGAGAAACTGATTTGTGATGTGTGCTTTCATCTCACAGAGTTAAAACTTTCTTTTGATTGAACAGTTTGGAAACACTGTTTTTGTCCATTGTGTGAATGGACATATGGGAGCTCATTGAGGCCAGTGGAGGAAAAGAAAATATCCCAGGATAAAAACTACAAGGAAGTTATCTGAGAAATAAATTTGTGATGTGTGCATTCATCTCACAGAGTTAAACATTTCTTTTCATTCAGTTGTTTTGAAGCACATTTTTGTTGAATCTGCAAAGGGATGTTTGGGAGCACTTGGAGATCTTTGGTGAAAAAAAATCTGAAGATAAAAAGTAGAAAGAAAGTTTCTGAGAAACTTCTCTGTGATGGTTTCATTCAACTCACAGAGGTCGAGCAGTTTGGAAACTCTTTTTCTGTAGAATCTCCAAATGTATATTTGGGAGCCCATTGAGGTCTACAGTGAAAAAGTAAATAACTTCTTATAAAAACTAGAAATAATGTTTCTGAGAAACTGCATTGTGATGTGTGCATTCATCTCACAGAGATAAACCTTTCTTTACATTCGGCAGTTTGGCAACACTGTATTTTTAGGATCTGTGAAGGGATATTTCCCAGTGCATTGAGGCCAAGGGTGAAAAAGAAAATATCTTCAGATAAAAAGTAGAAGAAAGCTTTCTGAGAAACTGCCTTGTGATGTGTGCTTTCATCTCTCAGAGTTAAATCGTTATTTTTATTCAGCAGTTTGTAAACATTGTTTTTGTCCATTCTGTGAATGGACATTGGGGAGCTCATTGAGGCCTATGGTGAAATATCAAATTTCCCAGGATAAATACTGGAAGAAAGCTATCTGAGAAAACCACTTTGTGATGTGTGCATTCATCTTGCACAGTTTATACTTTCTTATCATTCAGCCATTTGGAAACACAGTTTTTGTAGAATCTGAGAAGGGATATTTTGGAGCATGTTAAGGCCCATGGTAAAAAAGAAAATAACTTCAGATATAAACTAGAAACGTCCTTTCTGAGAAAGTGCTTTGTGATGTCTGCTTTCATCTCACAGAATTAAATATTTCTTTTCATTCAGTAGTTTGGAAAGACTGTTTTTGTTTATTCTGTGAATGGATATTTGGGAGCTCATTGAGTCCAATGGAGAAAAAGCAAATGTCCCAGGATGAAAACTTCAAGGAATCTATCTGAGAAACCACTTTGTGATGTGAGCATTCACCTCACAGATTTAAACTTTCTTTACCTTAAGCAATTTGGAAACACTGTTTTTGTAGAATTTGTTAAGGAATATTTCAGAGCGCATTGAGGCCTATGTTTAAAAGGAAAATATCTTCAGATAAAAACTAGACAGAACATTTCTGAGAAACTGCTTTGTGATGTGTGCTTTATCTCACAGAGTTAAATATTTCTTTTCATTCAGCAGTTAGAAAGACTGTTTTTGTCCATTTTGAGAATGGACATTTGGGAACACATAGAGGCAAGTGGAGAAAAAGTGAATATCACAGGATAAAAACTTCAAGAAAGCTATCTGAGAAACCACTTTGTGATGGGTGCATTAATCTTGGTGATTTAAACCTTTCTTTTGATTCAGCAGTTTGGAAATACTGTTTTTGTCCATTCTGCAAATGGACATTTTGCAGGTGATTGAGGCCAATGGCAAAAAATTGAATATCCCAGGATAAAAACTACTTGAGGATAAAAAGCTACTTGAGAAACTGCTTTGTGATGTGTGCATTCATCTCACAGAGTGAAACATTTCTTTTCATTCAGCAGTTTGGAAACACTGTTTTTGCAGAATGTGTGAAGGGATATTTTGCAGCCTATTGAGACCTATGTTGCAGAAGAAAATATCTTAAGATAAAAAGTAGAAAGGAGGTTTCTGAGAAACTGCTCTGTGATGGGTGCATTGACCTCACAGAGTTAAACCTTTCTTTTGATCCAGCAGTTTGGAAACACTGTTTTTTAGAATCTGCAAAGGGCTCCATTCATCCCACAGAATTAATCCTTTCTTTTGATTCAACAGTTTTGAAACACTTTTTGTCCATTCTGCGAATAGATATTTGGGAGCTCATTGAGGTCAATGGAGAAAAAGGGAATTTCCCAGAATAAAAATTCCATGGAAGCTATCTGAGAAACTGCTTTTTGATGTGTGCATTCATCTTGCAGAGTTAAACCTTTCCTTTCATTCAGCAGTTTGGAAACACTGTTTTTTGAAGAATTTGCAAAGGGGTATTTGGGAGTGCATTGAGACCTGTGGTGAAAAAGAAAATATCTTAAGATAAAAAGTAGGTCGGGGTGTGGTGTCTCAAGCCTGTAATCCCAGCACTTTGGGAGGCCAAGGCAGGCAGATCACGAGTTCAGGAGATAGAGACTATCCTGGCTAACATGGTGAAACCCCGTCTCTACTAAAAATACAAAAAAATTAGCTGGGCGTGGTGGCTGGTGCCTGTAATCTGAGCTACTTGGGAGGCTGAAGCAGGAGAATGGCATGAACCTGGGAGGCAGAGATTGCAGTGAGCTGAGATTTCACCACTGCACTCTAGCCTGGGGGACAGAGTGAGACACCATCTCAAAAAAAAAAGATGAAAAGTAGAAGGAAGCTTTCTGAGAAACTGGTCTGTGATGGGTGCATTCACCTCACAGAGTTAAAAGTTTCTTTCAATTCAGGAGTTTAGAAACACTGTTTATGTCCATTATGTGAATGGATATTTAGTAGTTGATTGAGGCCACTGGCAAAAAATCTAATATCCCAGGATAAACACAGCAACCACCTTGTGATGTGTGCATTCATCTCAAAGAGTTAACCCTTTCTTTTGATTCAACAGTTTGGAAACACTGTTTTTGTAGAATCTGCAAAGGGATATTTTGGAGCATATTTAGGCCCATGGTGAAGAAGAAAGTATCTTCAAATAAAAACTAAAGAAAAGCTTTCTGAGAAACTGCTTCATGATGTGTGATTTCATCTCAAAGAATTAATCATTTCTTTTGATTTAACAGTTTTGAAACACTGTTTTTGTCCATTCTGCAAGCGGATATTTTGGAGCTCATTGAGGCCAACAGAGAAAAAGGAAATATCCCAGGATAAAAACTTGAAGGAAACTATCTGAGAAACCGGTTTGTGATGTGTGCATTCACCTCACAGAGTTAAACCTTTCTTTAGATTCAGCAGTTTGGAAACATCATTTTTGTCCATTCTGTGAATGGACATTTGGTAGCTGATTGAGGCCAATGGCAAAAAAGCTAATATCCCAGGATAAACACTAGAAGGAAGGTATCTGAGAAACTGCTTTGTGATGTGTGCATTCATCTCACAGAGTTAAAAGTTTCCTTTCATTCAGCAGTTTGGAAACACTGTTTTGTAGAATCTGTTAAGGGATATTTTGGAGTGCATTCAGGCCTATGGTGAAAAAGAAAATATCTTCAAATAAAAACTACAAAGAAGCTTTCTGACAAACTGCTCTGTGATGGGTGCATTCACCTCACAGATTTAAACCTTTCTTTTGATCCAGCAGTTTGGAAACACAGTTTTGTAGAATCTGCGAAGTGATATTTCAGAGCCCTTTGAGGCCTATGGTGAAAGAGTAAATATCTTCATATAAAAACTAAAAAGAAGCTTTCTGAGAAACTGCTTTGTCATGTGTGCATTCATCTCACAGAGTTAAATTTTTCTTTTCATTCTGCAGTTTGGAAAAACTGTTTTTCTCCAATTCTGTGACTGGACTTTTAGGAGCTCATTGAGGCCAATGGAGAAAAAGAAAATATCACAGAATAAAAACCACAAGGAAGCTATCTGAGAAACCACTTTGTGATGTGTGCATTCACCTCACAGAGTTGAACCTTTCTTTTCATTCATCAGTTTGGAAATGCTTTTTTTTTGTAGAATCTGCAAAGGGATATTTGGGAGCACATTGAGACCTAAGTTGAAAAAGTAAATATCCTAAGATAAAAATTAGTAAGAAGCTTTCTGAGAAACTACTCGGGGATGGGGATTCACCTCACAGAGTTAAACTTTTCTATTGATGCAGCAGTTTGGAAACACTGTTTTTGTAGAATCTGTGAAGGGATATTTGGGAACCCATTGAGGCCTATGGTAAAAAAGTGAATATCTTCAGATAAAAACTAGAAAGAAGTTTTATGAGAAACTGCTTTGTGATGCGTGCTTCCATCTCAGAGAGTTAAACGTTTATTTTGATTCAAAAGTTTGGGAACACTGCTTTTGTCCATTCTGCCAATGAACATTTGGGAGATCATTGAGGCCAAAGGAGAAAAAGCAAATATCCCAGGATACAAACTACAAGGAAGCCATCTGAGAAACTGCTTTGTGATGTGTGCATTCATCTCCCAGAGTTAAACCTTTCCTTACACTCAGCAGTTTGGAAACCCTGTTTTTGTAGAATCTGCGAAGGGATATTTGGGAGTGCATGGAGACCTACAGTGAAAAAGAAAATATCTTAAGATAAAAACTAGAAAGAATCTTTCTGAGAAACTGCTCAGTAATGGGTGCATTCACCTCACAGAGGTAAACCTTTCTTTTCATTCAGCAGTTTGGAAACCCCGTTTTTGTCCATTCTGCAAATGGACATTTCGTAGCTGATTGAGGCCAAAGGCAAAAAAGGGGAATATCCCCGGGTAAACACTAGAAGGAAGCTACATGAGAAACCACTTAGAGATGTGTGCATTAAACTCTCAGAGTTAAACATTTCTTTTCACTCAGCAGTATAAAAACATTGCTTTTGTAGAATCTGTGAAGGGATATTTTGGAGCACATTGGGGTCTATGGTGAAAAAGAAAATATCTTCAGATAGAAACTAGCAGGAAGCTTTCTGAGATACTGCTTTGTGATGTATGCTTTCATCTCACAGAGTTAAACATTTCTTTTCATTCAACCTTTTTGAAAGATTGTTTTGGCCCATTCTTGGAATGGACATTTGAGAGCTCATTGAGGCCAAAGGAGAAAAAGCAAATATCCCATGATAAAAACTTCAAGAAAGATATCTGAGAAATGGCTTTTTGATGTGTGCATTCATCTCACAGAGTTAAACCTTTCTTTTGATTCTGCAGTTTGCAAACACTGCAGTTTGCAAACACTGTTCTTGTAGAATCCGTGTAGTGATATTTGGGAGCCCATTGAGGCCTATGGTGAAAAAGTAAATATCTTCATATAAAAACTAAAAGGAAGCTTTCTGAGAAACTGCTTTGTGATGTGTGCATTCAACTCACACACTTAAAATTTTCTTTTGATTAAGCAGTTTGGAAACACTGTTTTTGTCCATTCTGTGACTGGACTTTTGGGAGCTCATTGAGGCCAATGGAGAGAAAGTGAATATCACTGGATAAAAACTTCATGGAAGCTATCTGAGAAACTGCTTTGTGATGTGTGTATTCATCTTGCACAGTTAAACCTTTCTTTGCATTCAGCAGTTTGGAAACCCTGTTTTTGTAGAATCTGTGAAGGGATATTTCAGAGTGCATTGATTCCTAAGGTGAAAAAAAAACTTCAGATAAAAAGTAGAAGGAAGCTTTCTGACAAACTGCATTGTGATGTGTGCTTTCATCTCACAGAGTTAAACTTTTTTTTTTTATTCAGCAGTTTTGTAACACTATATTTGTCCATTCTGTGAATTGACATTTGGGAGCTCATTTAGGACAATGGAGAAAAAGGGAATATCGCAGAATAAAAAATACAAGGAAGCTATCTGAAAAACCACTTTGTGATGTGTGCATTCATCTTACAGAGCTAAATGGATCCTTTCATTCAGCTGTTTGGAAACACTGTTTTCATAGAATCTTTGAAGGGATATTTGGGAGCATGTTGAGAACTATGGTTAAAAAGAAAATATCGTCAGATAAAAAGTAGAGAGAAAATTTCTGAGAAACCACTCTCTAATGTATGCATTCACCTCACAGAATTAAACCTTTAATTAATTAATCCAGCAGTTTGGAAACACTGTTTTTGCAGAATATGTGTGGGGATATTTGGATGCCCATTGAGGCCTAGGGTGAAAAAGGGAATATCTTCATATAAAAACTAGAAAGAATCTTTCTGAGAAACTGCTTTGTGATGTGTGCATTCATCTCACAGAGTTAAACCTTTCTTTTGATCCAGCAGTTTGGAAACACTGTTTTTGTAGGATCTGTGAAGGGTTATTTTGGAGTGTATTGAGGCCTATGGTGGAAAAGAAAATATCTTCAAATAAAAACTAGAGAGCAGCTTTCTGAGAACTGCTTTGTGATGTGTGCTTTCATCTCACAGAGTTAAACCTTTCTTTGGATTCAACACTTTGGAAACACTGTTTTTGTCCATTCTGCCAATGGGCATTTGGGAGCTCATTGAGGCCAATGGAGAAAAAGTGAATATCCCAGGATAAAAACTTCAAGGAAGGTACCTGAGAAACCACTTTGTGATGTTTGCATTCATCTCACAGAGTCAAACACATTTCCTTGCAATCAGCAGTTTTGAAACACTGTTTTTGTACAATCTTGGAAGTGATATTTGGGAGTGCATGGAGATCTATGGTGAAAAAGAAAATATCTTAAGATAAAAACTAGAAATAAGCTTTCTGAGAAACCATTCTGTGATGAGTGTATTCATCTCACAGAGGTAAACATTTCTTTTGATTCAGCAGTTTTGAAACACTGTTTTTGCCTATTCTGTGAATGGACATTTTGTAGCTGATTGAGGCCAATGACAAAAAAACAAATGTCCCAGGGTAACAACTAGAAGGAAGCTACATGAGAAACTGCTTTGAGATGTGTGTATTTATCTCACAGCGTTAGATGTTTCTTTTCATTCAGTGATTTGGAAACACAGTTTTTGTAGAATCTGCAAAGGGATATTTTGGAGCACTTTGGGGCCCATGGTGAAAAAGAAACCATCTTTAGACAAAAACTAGAAAGAGTATTCCTGAGAAACTGCTTTGTGATGTGTGCTTTCATCTCAGAGTTAAATATTTCTTTTCATTCAGCAGTTTGGAAAGACTGCCTTGTCCATTCTGCCAATGGACATTTTGGAGCTCATTGAGGCCAATGGAGAAAAAGCGAATATCCCAGGATAAAAACATCAAGTAAGCTATCTGAGAAACCACTTTGTGATGTGTGCATTCATCTCACAGAATGAAACCTTTCTTTAAGTTCAGCAGTTTGGAAACTCTGTTTTTGTTTAATCTGTTTAGGGGTATTTTGGAGTGCATTGAGGCCTATGGTTAAAAAGAAAATATCTTCAGATAAAAACTAGAAAGAAGCTTTCTGAGAAACTGATTTGTGATGTGTGCTTTCATCTCACAGAGTTAAACATTTCTTTTCATTCTGTGCTTTGAAAGTCTGTTTTTGTCCATTCTGTGAATGGACATTAGGGCGCTCATTGAGGCCAAAGGAGAGAAAGTGAATATCACTGGTTAAAAACTTCAAGGAAGCTATATGAAAAACTGCTTTGTGATGTGTGCATTCATCTTGCAGAGTTAAACCATTGCATTCATTCAGCAGTTTGGAAACACTGTTTTTTTAGAATCTGTGAAGGGATATTTGGGAGCACATTGAGACCTATGGTGAAAAAAATCTGAAGATAAAAAGTAGAAAGAAGCTTTCTGAGAAACTGCTCTGTGATGGGTGCATTCACCTCACATATTCATAGCTTTCTTTGGTCCAGCAGTTTGGAAACACTGTTTTTGTAGGATCTGCAAAGGGATATTTTGGAGCACATTGGGGCATATGGTGAAAAAGAAAATATCTTCAAATAAAACCTAGACAGAAAGTTTCTGAGAAACTGCTTTGTGGTATGTGCTTTCATCTCACAGAGTTATACATTTCTTTTGTTTCAACAGTTTGGAAACACTGCTTTTGTCCATTCTACTAATGGAAATTTGGGACATCTTTGAGGCCAGTGTGGAAAAAGCAAATATCCCAAGATGAAGACTTCAAGGAAGCTATCTGAGATACCACTTTGTGATGTGTGCATTCATCTCCCAGAGTTAAACCTCTACTTACATTCAGCAGTTTGGAAACACTTTTTTTGTAGAATCTGTGAAGGGATATTGGGGAGTGCATGGAGACCTATGGTGAAAAAGAAAATATGTTAAGATAAAAAACTAGAAAGAAGCTTTCTGAAAAACTGCTCTGTGATAGGTGCATTCACCTCACAGAGTTAAACCTTTCTTTTGATTCAGCAATTTGGAAACACTCTTTTTGTCCATTCTGCGAATGGACATTTTGTACGTGATTGAGGCCAAAGGCAAAAAAGGGAATATCCCAGGGTAAAAACTCGAAGGAAGCTACATGAGAAAACGCTTTGAGATGTGTGCATTCATCTATCAGAGTTAAACAATTCTTTTCATTCAGACGTTTGGAAGCACTGCTTTTGTAGGATCTGGGAAGGGATATTTCAGAGTGAATTGGAGCCTATGATGATAAAAGAATTATCTTCAAACAAAAACTAGACAGAAGAACTGTGAGAAACTGCTTTGTGCTATGGACTATCATCTCACAGAGTTAAACCTTTCTTTTAAATCAACAGTTTTGAAACAGTGTTTTTGACCATTCTGTGAAAGGACATTTGGGAGCTTATTGAGGGCAGTGGAAAAAAAGCAAATATCCCAGGTTAAAAACTACAAGGAAACTATCTGAGAAACTGCTTTGTGATGTGTGCATTCATCTCACAGAGTTAAACCATTCTTTTCATTCAGCAGTTTGAAAACACTGTTTTTGTAGTATCTACAAAGGGATATTTGGGAGCCCATTGGGGCCTATGGTGAAAATGTAAATATCTTCATATAAAAACTACAAAGAATCTTTCTGGGAAACTCCTTTGTGATGTGTGCATCCATCTCAGAGAGTTAAACTTTTCTTTTGATTCAGCAGTTTGGAAACACTGTTTTTGTCCATTCTGTGAATGGACATTTGGGAGCTCATTGAGGCCAATGGTGAGAAATTGAATATCCCAGGAGAAACACTAGAAGGAAGCTACCTGAGAAAATGCTTTGTGATGTGTGCATTCCTCTCACAGAGTTAATCCTTTCTTCTCATTCAGAAGTTTGGAAACACTGTTTTTTTAAGAATCTGATAAGGGATATTTCAGAGTGCATTGACGCCTATGGTGAAAAAGAAAATATCTTCAGATAAAAACTAGAAAGAAGCTTTCTGGCAAACTGTTTTGTCATGTGTGCATTCATCTCACAGAGCTAAACCTTTCTTTTGATTCAATCACTTGGAAACACTGTTTTTGTCCCTTCTGTGCATGGGCATTTGGGAGCTCATTGAGGCCAATGGAGAAAAAGTGAATATCCCAGGATAAACACTATAAGGAAGCTATTTGAGAAACCACTTTGTGATGTGTGCATTCATCTCACACAGTTAAACATTTCTATTCATTCAGCAGTTTTGAAACACTGTTTTTGTAGCATCTCCAAAGTGTATTTGGGGGCAGACTGAGACCTATGGTGAAAAAGAAAATATCTTAAGTAAAAAGTAGAAAGAAGCTTTCTGAGAAACTACTTTGTGATATGTGCATTCGTCTCACAGAGTTTAACTTTTCTTTTGATCCAGGAGTTTGGAAACACTGTTTTTGTAGAATCTGTGAAGGGATATTTCAGAGTGCATTCAGTCCTAAGGTGAAAGAGGAAATATCTTCAAATGATAACCAGACAGAAGCTTTCTGAGAATCTGCTTTGTCATGTATGCATTCATCTCACAGAGTTAAACCTTTGTTTTGATCCAGTAGTTTGAGACCACTCTTTTTCTAGAACCTGCCAAGGGATATTTCAGAGTGTATTGAGGCCTATGGTGAAAAAGAAAATATCTTCAAATAAAAAATAGAAACTTTCAGAGAAACTGCTTTGTGATGGTGGCTTTCATCACACAGAGTTAAAACTTTCTTTTGATTCAGCAGTTTGAGAACACTCTTTTTGTCCATTCTGCAAATGGACATTTGGGAGATCATTGAGGCTAATGACAAAAAATAGAATATCCGAGGGTAAACACTAGAAGGAAGCTATCTGAGAAACAACTCTGTGATGTGTGCATTCATCTCACAGAGTTAAACCTTTCTTTTCATTCAGCAGTTTGGAAATACTGTTTTTGTAGAATCTGCGAAGGAATATTTCATAGCACATTGAGGCCTATGGTGAAAAGGAAAATGTCTTAAGGTAAAAAGTAGAAAGAAACTTTCTGAGAAACTGCTCTGTGATGGGTGCATTCACCTCACAGAGTTAAACTTTTTTTGTAGAATCCGTGAAGGGATATTTTGGAGTGCTTTGAAGCATATGATGAAAAAGAAAATATCTTCTGACAAAAACTAGAAAGAAGCTTTCTGAGAAACTGCTTTGTTATTTGTGTTTTCATCTCACAGAGTTAAAACTTTCTTTGGATTGTGCAGTTTGGCAATACTGTTTTTGTCCATTCTGTGAATGGAAATTTGGGAGCTCATTGAGGCCAAAGGAGGAAAAGTAAATATCCTAGGATTAAAAACTCCAAAGAAGCTATCTGAGAAACTGCTTTGTGATGTGTGAATTCATCTCTCATAGTTAATCCTTTCTTCTCATTCAGCAGTTTGGAAACACCACTATTTTTGTAGAATCTGTTAAGGTTTATTTTGGAGTGCTTTGAGATCTATGATGAAAAAGAAAATATCTTAAGACAAAAAGTAGAAAGACGCTTTCTGAGAAACTGCTCTGTGATGTTTGCTTTCATCTCACAGAGTTAAACCTTTCTCTTGATTCAGCAGTTTGGAAATACTGTTTTTGTCCATCCTGCAAATGGACATTTGGCAGCTCATTGAGCCAATGGCAAAAAATCGAATATCCCAGGATAAATACTAGAAGGAAGCTATGTGAGAAATTGCTTTGTGATGTGTGCATTCATCTCACAGAGTTAATCCTTTCTTCTCACTCGGAAGTTTGGAAACACTGTTTTTGTAGAAACTTTGAAGGGATATTTGGAAGTACATTGAGGCCTAAGGTGAAAAGGAAAATAGCTTCAGATAAAAAGCAGGAAAAAGCTTTCTGAGAAGCTGCTTTGTGATGTATGCATTCATGTCACAGAGATGAAACTTTCTTTTGATTCAGCAGTTTCAAAACATTCTTTTTGTCTTTTCTGTGGATGGTCACTTGGGAGCTCATTGAGGCCAATGGTGAAAAAGTGAATATCCCAGGATAAAAACTACAAAGAAACTGTTTGAGAAAATGCTTTTTGGTGTATGCATTCATCTGGCTGACTAAAACCTCTATTTCATTCAGCAATTTGGAAGCATTTTTTTTTGTATAATCTGTGAAGGGATAGTTAGGAGCACATGGAGGCCTATGGTGAAAGATAAAATATCTTCAGCTGAAAATAAGAAAGAAGGTTTCTGAGACACTGATTTGTGATGTGTGCATTCACCTCACAGAGTTAAACCTTCCTTTTGATTCAGAGGTTGGAGACACTGTATTTGTCCATTCTGCAAATGGAAATTTGGGAGCTCTTGAGGCCAATGGTGAAAAGGTGAATATCCCAGGAAAAAAAAACCTGAAGGAAATTATCTGAGAAACAGGTTTTGATATGTGCATTCATCTCACAGAATTAAATGTTTCTTTTCACTCAGCAGTTTGGAAACACCGTTTTTGTAGAAACTGCAAAGGGATATTTGGGAGCTCATTGAGGTCGATGGTGAAAAAGAAATTATCTTCAAATTAAAAGTAGAAAGAAGCTTTCTTTGAAACTGCTTTGTGTTGTGTGCCTTCATCTCACAGAGTAAACCTTTCTTTTAATTCAGCAGTTTGGAAACACTGTTTTTGTTCTTTCTGAAAATGGACATTTGGGAGCTCATTGAGGCCAATGGTGAAAAAGCGAATATCCCAGGGTGAAACCAGAAGGAAACTATCTCAGAAACCACTTTGTATTGAGTGCATTCATCTCACAGAGTGAAACGTTTCTTTTCATTCAGCAATTTGGAACCTGTTTTTGTAGAATCTTAGAAGGGATGTTTGGGAGTGCATTGAGGCCTATGGTGAAAAAGAAAATAACTTCAGGTAAAACTAGAATGAAGCTTTCTGAGAAACTGCTTTGTGATGTGGGCATTCATCTCACAGAGTTAAAGCTTTCTTTGATTCAGCAGTTTGGAAATACTGGTTTAGTCCTTTCTGAGAATGGACATTCGTGAGCTCACTGAAGCAAATGGCAAAAAAGTGAGTATCCCAGGACAAAAACTAGAAGGGAGCTATCTGAGAAACAACTTTTTGATGTGTGCATTTATCTCCCAGAGTTAAACCTTTCTTTACATTCAATAGTTTTGAAAAACTGTTTTTGTGGAATCTGAGAAGGAATATTTGGGAGTGCTTTGAGGCCCATGGTGAAAAAGAAAATATCTTCAGATAAAAACTAGAAAGAAGCTTTCTGTGAAACTTCTCTGTGATGTGTGCATTCATCTCACAGAGTTAAACCTTCTTTTTGATTCAGCAGTTTAGAAACACTGTTTATGTGCATTCTGCAAATGGAAATTTGGGAGCTCATTCAGGCCAATGGCAAAAAGGTAAATAACCCAGGATAAAAACTTGAAGGAAGCTATTTGAGGATCTGCTTTGTGATGTGGGCATTCATCTCACAGACTTTCTTAACTTTCTTTTAATTCAGCTGTTTGGAAACACTGTTTTTGTAGAATCTGCTAAGGGATATTTGGGATTGCATTGAGGCCTATGGTGAAAATGAAAATATCTTCAGATAAAAAATCAAAAGAAGCTTTCTGAGAAACTGCTTTTTGATGTGTGGATTCATCTCACAGTTAAACCTTTCTGCTGATTCAGCACTTTGGAAACACTGTTTTTGTCCTTTATGTGAATAGAAATTTGGGAGCTCATTGAGGCCAATTGTGGGCAGCAAGGCAGCCAAGTCCGAGGCAAGAGACCAAGGGCACGAGCTGTTCCAGTATAATTAAATATATAAAATAAGAACAGTTATAGTAGATATAGATCATACATATGATTATATGTGAATATCATTAATCATTACTTTTTAGCAATTACTCTATATTCCAATATTATAATAATCATCACTCTACAATCATAACCTAAGAAAGAACAGGCCATACAAAGATAGAAGCTGAAGGGACATAGTGAGAGGTGAGAGGTGACTAGAACTACTGAATCAAAAGGAAGGTTTAAGTCTGTGAGATGAATGCATGCAACACAAACCACCTTCTCAGAAATCTTCTTTCTACTTCTTATCTGAAGATATTTTCTTTTTCACCATAGGCCTCAATGTGCTCCCAAATAGCCCTTTGCAGGTTGTACAAACACAGTGTTTTCAAACTGCGGAATGAAAAGAAGGGTATAACTCTGCGAGATGAATGCACACATCACAAAGTGGTTTCTCATATAGCTTCCTTCCAGTTTTTATCCTGGGATATTCACTTTTTTGCCATTGGCCTCAATGAGCTCCCAAATGTCCATTAGCAGAATGGACAAAAACAATGTTTCCCAACTGCTGAATGAAAAGAAAAGTTTAACTCTTTGAGATTAATGCACACAACACAAATCAATTTCTCAGAAAGCTTCTTTCTAGTTTTTATCTGAAAGTATTTTCTTTTTCATCTTCATCCTCAAAGCACTCCCAAATATCCCTTCGCATATTCCATGAAAACAGTGTTTCCAAACTGCTGAATTAAAACAAAAGTTTAAATCTGCGAGATGAATGCACTCATCACAAAGCAGTTTCTCAGGTAGCATTCTTCTAGTTTTAATCCTGGGATAGTCACTTTTTCACCATTGGTCTCAATGATATCTCAAATGTCCATTCACAGAGTGGACAAAAAGAGTGTTTCCAAATTGCTAAATCAAAAGAAAGTTTTTAATCTGTGAGATGAATGCACACATTACAAGGCAGTTTCTCAGAAAGACTTCACTTTTTCTCTGAAGATGTTTTCTTATTCGCCATAGGCCTCAAAGTGCTCCCAAGTATCCCTTCACAGATCCTACAAAAAGACTTTATCTAAACTGCTGAATGAAAAGAATGGTTTAACTCTGTGAGATGAATGCATACATCACAAAGCAGTTTCTCAGATAGCTTCCTTCTAGTTTTTATTCTGGAATATTCACTTTTTCGCCATTGGCTTCAGTGAGCTCTGAAATATCCATTCACAGAATGGGCAAAAAGAGTGTTTCCAAACTGCTGAATCAAAAGAAAGGTTTAACTGTATGAGATGAATGGGCACATCAAAAAGTAGAATATCAGAATGTTCTTTCTAGTTTTTATCGGAAATATTTTATTTTTCACCATAGGCCTCGATACACTCCCAAATATCTCTTTGAGGATTCTGCAAAAACAGTGTTTACAAACTGCTTAATGAAAAAGAAAGGTTTAACTCTGCGAATTGAATGCACACATCGGAAAGTGGTTACTCAGAGAGCTTCCTTCTAGTTTTTATCCTGTGGTATTCACTTTTTCACTATTGACCTCAATGACCTCCCAATGTCCATTTGCAGAATGGACAAAAAGTGTTTTGAAACAGCTGAATCAAATGAAAGGTTAAACTCTTTGAGATGAATGCACACATAACAAAGCAGTTTCACAGAAGCTTCTTTCTACTTTTTATATGAAGATATTTTATTTTACACCTTAGGCCTTAATGTGCTCCCAAATTTCCCTTTACAGATTCTGCAAGAAAAGTGTTTCCAAACTGCTGAATGAAAAGAAAGGTTTAAATATGCAAGATGAATGCACACATCACAAAGGGGTTTCTCAGATAGCTTCCTTCTAGTTTTATCCTGGGATATTCACTTTTTTGCCATTGGCCTCAATGACCTTCCAAATGTCCATTTGCAGAATTCACAAAAACAGTGTTTCCCAACTTCTGAATCAAAAGAAAATTTTAACCCTGGGAGATGAATGCACACATCAAAAGCTGTTCTTCAGAAAGCTTCTTTCTACTGTTTATCTGCAGATATTTTCTTTTGCACCATAGAACTCAATGACCTCCAAAATATGCCTTCACAGGTTCTACAAAAACAGTATTTCCAACCTACTGAGTGAGAAAAAAGGTTTAACTCTGTGAGATGAATGCACACATCAGAAAGCTTTTTGTCAGATAGATTCCTTCTAGTTTTTATCCTGGGATATTCACTTTTTTGCCATTGGCATTAGTGACCTCCGAAATGTCCACTCTCAGAAAGGACAAAAACACTGTTTCCAAGCTGCTGAGTCTAAAGAAAAGTGTAACTGTTTTAGATGAATGCACACATCACAAAGCAGTCTCACAGATAGTTCCTTTCTACTTTTTATCTGATGATATTTACTTTTCACCATCGACCTCAATGCACTCCAATATATCCCTTTGCAGATTCTACAAAACAGTGTTTCCAAACTGCTGAATGAAAAAAATGGTTCAACACTGTGAGTTAAATACAGACATCACAAAGCAGTTTCTCAGATAGCTTCCTTCAAGTTTTTATCCTGGGATATTCACTTTTTCCCCTTTGGCCTCAACTAGCTCCTAAATGTCCAGTCACAGAATGGACAAAAACAGAGTTTCCAAACTGCTGAATCAGAAGAATGGCTTAACTCTGTGAGATGAATGCACACATCACAAAGCAGTTCCCCAGGAAGATTCTTTCTAGTTTTTATCTGAAGATATTTTCTTTTTCACCATAGGCCTCAATGCACTCTCAAATATCCCTTCACAGATTGTACAAAAATAGTGTTTCCAAAGTGTTGCATGAACACAAACATTTATCCCTGTGGGATGAAAGCACACATCACCAAGCAGTTCTTCAGGTGCCTTAATTCTAGTTTTTGTCCTGGGATATTCCCTTCTTCACCATTGGCCTCAATGGGCTCCAAAATGTCCATTCACAGAATGGACAAAAACAGTTTTTCCAAACTGCTGAATCAAAAGAAAGTTTTAACTCTGTTTGATGAATGCACACATCACAAAGCAGATCCTCAGAAAGCTTCTTTCTACATTTTATCTGAAGATATTTTCTTTTTCACCATAAGATACAATGCGCTCTCAAATACCTCTTTGCAGATTCTACAAAAACAGTGTTTACAAACTGCTTAGTGAAAAAAAACGTTGAACTTTGTGAGTTGAATGCACACATCAAAAAGCAGTTTCTCAGATAGCTTCCTTCTAGTTTTTATCCTGGGATATTCACTTTTTTGTCATTGTACTCAATGTGCTCCCCAAAGCCCATTCACAGAATGGACAAATAAGTGTTTCCCAACTAAGGAATCATAAAAAACGGTTTAACTCTGTAAGATGAATGCACACATCACAAAGCAGTTTCTCAGAAAGCTTCCTTCTAGTTTTTATCATGGGATATTCACTTTTTCGCCATTGACCTCAATAAGCTGACAAACATCCATTCACAAAATGGACAAAAACCATGTTTCCAAGCTGCTGAATCAAAAGAAAGGTATAACTCTGTGAGATGAATGCATACTTCAAAAGGCAGTTTCTCAGAAAGCTTCTTTCTACTTTTTATCTCAAGACATTTTCTTTTTCACCATAGGCCTCAATGTGCTTCCAATTATCTCTTTACAGATTCTACAAAAACAGTGTTTTCAAACTGCTGATTGAAAAAAAGGTTTCACACTGTGAGAAGAATACACACATCAGAAAGCCTTTTCTCAGATAGCTTCCTTCTAGGTTTTTTCCTGTGATATTCACTTTTTCTCCATTGGTCTCAATGAGCTCCCATATGTCCATTCACAGAATGGACAAAAAAAGTGTTTCCAAACTGCTGAGTCTAAAGAAATGTTTACCTCTGTGTGATGAATGCACACATCGCAAAGCAGTTTTTCAGAAAGCTTCTTTCTACTTTTTATCTGAAGGTATTTTCTTTTTCACCTTAGACCTCAATGCACTCCCAAATATCCCTTCACAGATTCTACCTCAAATAGCTTCCCTCTAGTTTTTATCCTGGGTTATTCACTTTTTCATCATTGCCTCCAGGTGCTCCCTATTGTCCATTCACCTGACTGACAAAAGAGTGTTTCCAAACTGCTGAAACAAAAGAAAGGTTTAGCTCTGTGACATGAATGCGTACATCACAAGACATTCTTTTGTTGAATCAAAAGAATGGTTGAATTCTGAGGTAAAGGCAGACATCACAAAGAATGTTCTCAGAAAGCTTCTTTCTAGTTTTTATCTGAAGATATGTTCTTTTTCACCATAGGCTCAATGTGCTCCCAAATATCCATTAGCAGATTCTACAAAAACAGTGTTTCCAAACTGCTGAATGAAACCAAAGTTTTAACTTGCAAAATGAATGCACACATCACAAAGCAGTTTCTCAGCTAACTTCCTTCTAGTTTTTATCCTGTGATATTCTCCTTTTTGCCTTTGTCCTCAATCAACTCCCAGATGTTTATTTGCACAAATCACAAATCAGTGTTTCCAGACTGCTGAATCAAAAGAAAAGTTTAACACTGTGAGATGAATGCACACAGCACAAAGTGATTTCTCAGATAGCTTCCTTCAATTTTTTATCCTGGGATATTTGCTTTATCTCCATTGACCTCAATGAGCTCCCAAATGTCCATTCACAGAATGGACAAAAGCAGTGTTTCCAAACTGCGGAATCACAGGAAATGTTTAACTCTGTAAGATGAATGCATACACCCAAAGCAGTTTCTCAGAAAGCTTCTTTCTGGTTTTTATATGAAGATATTTACTTTTTCACCTTAGGCCTCAATGTGCTCCCAAATATCCCTTTGCAGATTCTACAAAGACAGTGTTTCCAAACTGCTGATTGAAAAGAAATGTTTAACTCTGTGACATGAATGCAAACATCACAAAGCGGTTTCTCAATACCTTCCTTCTATTTTTTATCCTGGGATATTCCCTTTTTTGACATTGGCCTCAAAGACCTCAAAAATATCCATTATCAGTATGGAGAAAAACAGAATATTTGAAACTGCTTAATCAAAGGAAAGGTTTAACTCTGTGAGATGAATGCATACATCACAAAGCAGTTTCTCAGAAAGCTTCTTTTAGTTTTTATGTGAAGATATTTACTCTTTCACCATAGGCCTCAATGGGCTCCCAAATATCCCTTTGCAATTCTACAAAAACAGTGATTCCAAACTGCTGAATGAAAACAAAGGTTTAACTCTGTGAGCTGAATGAACCTATCACACTATCACAAAACGGTTTCTCAGCTAGCTTCCTTCTAGTTTATATCCTAGGATATTCCCTTTTTTGACATTAGTCTCAAAGAGCTCAAAAATATCCATTTGCAGAATGGAGAAAAACAGTGTATACAAACTGCATAATCAAAAGAAAGTTACAACTCTGTCAGATGAATGCACACATACAAAGCAGTTCCTCAGAAAGCTTCTTTCTACTTTTTGTCTGAAGATATTTTCTTTTACACCAGAGGCCTCAATGTGCTCCCAAATATCCCTTCTCACATTCTACAAAAACAGTATTTCCAAACTTCTGAATTAAAGGAAAGGTTTAACTCTGTGAGATGAATGCAAACATCACAAAGAGGTTTTTCAGAGAGTTTCCATGCAGTTTTTATCTTGGGATATTCTCTTTTTCTCCATTAGCCTCAATGATCTTCCAAATGTCTGTTTGCAGAATGCACAGAAACAGTGTTTCCAGACAGTTGAATCAAAAGAAAGTTTTAATTCTGTGAGATGAATGCTTACATCACAAAGCAGTTTGTCAGAAATCTTCTCTCTAGTTTTTATATGAAGATATTTTCTTTTTCACCATAATCCTCAATGCTCTCCCAAATATCCCTTTGCAGATTCTACAAAAACAGTGTTTCCAATCTGCATTATGAAAATAAAATTTTAACTCTGCAAGATGAATGCACACAACTGAAAGCAGTTTCTCAGATATCTTCCTTCTAATTTTTTCCTGGGATATTCTCTTTTTCTCCACTGGCCTCAATGAGCTCTTAAATGTCCATTTGCAGAATGGACAAAAACAGTGTTTCAAATTGTTGAATCAAAAGGAAGTTTTAACTCAGTGATATGAATGTCCACATCATAAACCAATTTGTCAGAGGGCTTCTTTCTAGATTTTATCTTAAGGTATTTTCTTTTTCAACATAGGTCTCAATGTGCTCCTAAATGTCACTTCCCAGATGCTACAAAAACATTGTTTCCAAACTGCTGAATTAAAAGAAAGGTTTGACTCTGCGAGATGAATGCAGACATCACAAATCAGTTTCTCAGATAGCTTCCTTGTAGTTTTTACCCTGGGATATTCCCTTTTTTGCCATTGGCCTCAAAGACCTCACAAATGTCCATTCGCAGAATGGACAAAAACAGTGTTTCCAAAATGTTGAATGAAATGAAAGGTTTAATGCTGTGAGATGAATGCACACATCACAAAGCAGTTTATGAGAAAGCTTTTTCTAATTTTCGTCTGAAGATATTTTCTTTTTCACTATAGGGCAAAATATCCCTTCACAGATTCTATGAAAAAAAAAAAAAAAAAAAAACAGTGTTTCCAAACTGCTGAATGAAAAGAAAGGTTTAACTCTGCCAGATGAATGCACACATCACAAAACCATTTCTCACATAGCTTCCTTGAAGTTTTTATTCTGGGATATTCACTTTTCTACATTTGGTCTCAAAGAGCTCCCAAATCTTCATTCGCACAAAGGACAAATCAGTGTTTCCAAACTGGGGTATCAAAAGAAATATTTAACTCTGTGAGATGAATGCAGACATCACAAAGCAGTTTGTCTGAAAGATTCTTTCTACTTTTTATCTGAAGATATTTTCTTTTTCACCATAAGACTCAAGGTGCTCCCCAGTATCCCTTTGCAGATTCTACAAAAAAAGTGTTTCTAAACTGCTGAATAAAAAGAAAGGTTTAACTCTATGAGATGAAAGCACACATCACAAAGCAGTTTCTAACATAGCTTACTTCTAGTTTTTATCCTGGGATATCTCTTTTTTGCCATTGGCCTCAATCAGCTACCTAATGTACATTTGCAGAATGGACAAAAACAGTTTTTCCAAACTGTTGAATCAAACAAAAGGTTTAACTCTGTGAGGTGAATGCACCCATCACAGAGCAGTTTCTCAGAAAACTTCTTTCTACTTTTTATCTTAAGATACTTTCCCTTTAACCATAAGCCTCAATGAGCTCCCAAATTTCTCTTTGCAGATTCTACAAAAACAGTGTTTCCAAAGTCCTGAATGAAAAGAAAGGTTTACCTCTGTGAGATGAATGCACACATCACAAAGTGTTTTCTCAGATAGCTTCCTTGAAGGTTTGTGAGACAAAAACAGTGTTTTGAAACTGCTCTATTGAAAGAAATGATTAAATTGGTGAGATGAATGCACACATCACAAAGCAGTTTCTCAGAAAGCTTCTTTCTAACTTTTATCTAGATATAATTTCTGTTTCACCATAGGCCTTAATGCACTCCCAAATATTGCTTCCCAGATTCTACAAAAACGGTGTGTCCAAAGTGCTGAATGAAGAGAAAGGTTTAACTCTGTTAGATGAAAGCACACATCACAAAGCAGTTTCTCATAAAGCTTCTCTCTACTTTTTATCTGATGATAATTTCTTTTTCACCATAGGCCTCAATGCACTTCCAAATATCCCTTTGCAGATTCTACAAAAGCAGTGTTTCCAAATGTTGAATGAACAGGAAGGTTTAACTCTGTGAGATGAATGCACACATCACAAAGCTGCTTCTCAGATAGCCTACTTCTAGTTTTTATCCAGGGATACTCACTTTTTTGCCTTTGGCCTCAAAGAGCTCCTAAATGTACATTTGCCGAAAGGACAAAAACAATGTTTCCAATCAGCTGAATCAGAAGAAAAGTTTAACTCTGTTAGATGAAATCACACCTCACAAAGCAGTTTCTCATAAAGTTTCTTTCTACTTTTTATCTGATGATAATTTCTTTTTCACCATAGGCCTCATTGACTCTGAAATATCCCTCTGCAGATTCTACAGAAGCAGTATTTCCAAATGTTGAATGAAAAGGAAGCTTTAACTCTGTGAGATGAATGCACACATCACAAAGCTCCTTCTCAGATAGCCTACTTCTAGTTTTTATCCGGGGATATTCGCTTTTTCGCCTTTGGCCTCAAAGAGCTCCTAAATGTACATTTGCAGAAAGGACAAAAACAATGTTTCCAATCAGCTGAATCAAAACAAAAGATTAACCCTATGAGATGAATGCACACATAAAAAAGCAGTTTCTCAAAAACCTTCTTTCTACTTTTTATCTGAAGCTAATTTATTTTTCACCACAGGCCTCAATGCACTCTGAAATATCCCTTTGCAGATCCCACAAAAACACTGTTTCCAAACTGCTGAATGAAAAGAATGGTTTAACTCTGAAAGGTGAATGTGCACATCACAAAGTGGTTTCTCAGATAACTTCCTTCTAATTTTTATCCAGGGATATTTCCTTTTTCACCATTGGCCTCAGTGAGCTACCAAATGTTGATTTGCTGAATGGACAAAAACCGTGTTTCCAAACTGCTGAGTGAAAAGAAAGGCTTAACTCCATGAGATAAATGCAAGCATCATAAAGCTGTTCCTCACAAAGTTTCTCCCAACTTTTTATATATAGATGTTTTCTTTTTCACCATAAACCTCAATGCACTCTCAAATATCCCTGCAGAGATTTTACGAAAACATGTTTCCAAAAAGCTGAATGAAAAGAAAGATTCAATTCTGTGAGGTGAATGTGCAAATCACAAAGCAGTTCTTACATAGCTTCCTTATAGTTTTTATGCTGGGATATTTCCTTTTTTGCCATTGGTCTCAATGAGCTCCCAAATGTCCATTTGCAAAATGTATAAAAACAGTGTTTCCAAACTGTTGAATCAAAAGAAAAGTTTAACTCTGTGAGATGAATGCACACATTGCAAAGCAGTTTCTCAGATAGCTTTCTTCTAGTTTTTATCCTGGGATATTCTCTTTTTTGCCTTTGGTCTCAATGAGCTCCTAAATGTCCATTTGCAGAATGGGCAAAAACAGTGTTTCCATACTGCTGAATCAAAGGAAATGTTTATATCTGTGAGATGAATACACACATCACAGAGCAGCTTCTCAAAAAGCTTCTTTCTACTTTTTATCTCAAGATATTTTATTTTTCTCTATAGGCTTTAATGCACTCCCAAATATTCCTTCACATATTCCACAAAAAGAGTGTTTCCAAACTGCTGAATGAAAAGAAAGATTTAACTCTGTGAGATGAATCCACACATCACAAAGCAGTCTCTCAGAAAGCTTCTTTCAACTTTTTATCTGATGATATCTTCTTTTTTACCATAGGCCTCAGTGCACTCCCAAATATCACATCATAGATTCTACAAAAACAGAGTTTCCAAACTGCTGAATCAAAAGAGAGTTTTAACTCTGTGAGGTGAATCAACACTTCACAAAGCAGTTTCTAAAAAGCTTCTTTCAACTTTTTATCTGAAGATATTTTCTTTTTAACCATAAGTATCACTGCACTCTGATTTATCCCTTCACGGATTCTACAAAAAGATTGTTTCCAAAATGCTGAGTTAAAACACAGGTTTAAGTTTGCAATATGAATACACACTTCACAAAGCCATTTCTCAGATAGCTTCCTTCTAGTTTTTATCCTGGGATATTCACTTTTTCACCTTTTTCCTCAATGAGCTCCAAAATGTCCATCCTCCGAATGGACAAAAACAGTTTTTTCAAACTACTGAATCAAAGAAAGGTTTAAATCTGTTAGATGAATGCACACATCACAAAGTAGTTTCTCACAAAGCTTCCTTCTTTTTATCTGAAGTTATTTTCTTTTTCACCATAGCTTTCAATGTGCTCCCAAATATCCCTTCACAGATTCTAAAAAGACAGTGTTTCCAAACTGCTGAATGTAAAGAAAGTTTTAAAACTCTGCCAGATGAATGCAAACATTTCCAAGCAGTTTCTCAGACACTTCCTTCTAGTTTTTATCCTGCAATATTCACTTTTTTGCCAATTTCCTCAATGAGATCCCAAATATCCTTTCGCAGAATGGACAAAAACAGTTTTTCCAAAATGCTGAATCGAAACAAAGTTTTAACTCTTTGAGTTGAATGAACATATCACAAAGCAGTTTCTCTGATAGCTTCCTTCTAATTTTTACCCTGGGATAATCACTTTTTCTCCATTCACCCAATAGGCTACCAAATGTCCATTAGCAGAATAGGCAAAAACAGTGATTCCAAACTGCTGAATCAAAAGAAAGGTTTAACTGTGTGAGAAGAGTGCACACATCACAAAGCGTCTTGTTAGAAAGCTTCTTTCTAGTTTTCATCTGAAGATATTTTCTTTTTCACCATAGGCCTCCATGCACTCCCAAATATCCCTTCATAGATTCCACAATAACAGTGTATCCAAATTCCTGAATGAAAAGAAACTTTTAAATCTATGAGATGGATGCACACATCACAAAGCAGTTTCTCAGAGAACTTCCTTCTACTTTTTATCATAGGATTTTCTCTTTTGCCATTGGCCTCAATGAGCTCCCAAAAGTCCATTTGCAGAATGGGGAAAAACTGTGTTTCTAAACTGTGGAATCAAAATAAAAGTTTAATTCTGTGAGATGAATGCACACATCACAAAGCAGTTTTTCACAAAGCTTCTTTCTAGTTTTTATCTGAAGATATTTTCTTTTTCACCTTAGGCATCAAAAGACTCCCAAATATCCCTTCACAGATTTTACAAAAACAGTGTTTCCAATCTGCTGAATGAAAAATAAAGTTTAAATCTGTGAGATAAGTGCATTCATCACAAAGCGGTTTGTCAGATAGCTTCTTTCTACTTTTTATCCTGGAATGTTTGATTTTTCGCCATTGGCCTCAATGAGCTCCCAAATGTCCATTCACATAATGGACAAAAAGAGTGTTTCCATACTGCTGAATGAAAAGAAAGTTTTAACTCTGTGAGATGAATGCACAAATCACATGAGAGCTTCACAGAATGCTTCTTTCTAGTTTTCATCTGTAAATATTTTCTTTTTCACCATAGGCAACACTGCGCTCCCAAATATACCTTCAAAGTTTGCACAAAAACAGTGTTTCCAAACTGCTGAAGGAAAACAAAGGTTTAACTCTGCAAGATGAATGCACACATCACAAAGCAGTATCTCAGATACCTTCCTGCTAGTTTCTATCCTGGGATATTCGCTATTTTGCTTTTGGACTCAATGAGCTCCCAAATATCCATTCACAGAAAGGACAAAAACAGTGTTTCCACTCTGCTGAATCAAAGGAAACTTTTATCTCTGTGAGATGAATGCCCACATCACAAACCAGTTTCTCAGAAAGTTTCTTTCTAGCTTTTAACTGGAGATAATATCTGCTTCACCATAGGCCTCAATGTGTTTCCAAATATCCCTTCGCAGATTCCACAAAAACAGTGTTTCCAAACTGCTGAGTAAAAAGAAAGGTTTAACTGTGGGATGAATGCCCACATCACAAAGCAGTTTCTCAGAAAGGTTCTTTCTAGCTTTTATCTGGAGATAATTTCTGTTTCACCATATGCCTCAATGCACTCCCAAATATCCCTTTGCAGATTCTACAAAAACAGTGTTTCCAAAAAGGCTGAATGAAATGAAAGCTTTTACTCTGCGAGCTGAATTCATATATTACAAACTGCTTTCTAAGATAGCTTCCTCCTAGTTTTTAACCTGGGATATACGCTTTTTCACATTTGGCCTCAATGAGCTCCCAAATGTCTGTTCACTGAAAGGGCAAAACCAGTTTTTCCAAACTGCTATATGAAAAGAAATGTTTAAATCTGTTAGATGAATGCACACGTCACAAAGCAGTATCTCAGAAAGCTTCTTTCTACTTTTTATTTGAAGATTTTTTTTGACCATAGGCCTCAATGTGCTCCCAAATATCCCTGCACAGATTCTACAAAAACAGTGTTTCCAAACTGCTGAATGAAAATAAAGGTTTATCTCTGCTATATGAATGCACACATCACAATTAAGTTTCTCAGATAGCTTCCTTCTAGTTTTTATCCTGGGATATTCTTTTTTGGCCATCGGCCTCAATGAGCCTCCAAATGTCCATTTGTAGAATGGACAAAAGCAGTGTTTCCAAACTGCTGAATCAAAAGAAAGTTTTAACTCTGTTTGATGAATGCACACATCACAAATCAGTTTATCAGAAAGCTTCTTACTAGTTTTTAACTGGAGATATTTTCTTTTTCAGCACATGCCTCATTGTGCTCCCAAATATCCCTTCACAGATTCTTAAAAAAAATGTATCCAAACTGCTGAATTAAAAGAATGGTTTAACTAAGCATGATGAATACACACATCACATAGAGGTG
>NC_000009.12:65048124-65080082 GCF_000001405.40 Homo sapiens
ATATTTGGACAGATTGGAGGCCTTTGCTGGAAACGGGTATATCTTCACATAAAAACCACACAGAAGCATTGTCAGAAACTTCTTTGTGATGCTTCCATTCAACTCACAGAATTGAACATTCCTTTTCATAGAGCAGTTTTGAAACACTTTTTTTGTAGAATGTGTAAGTGGAATCTTGGAGGGCTTTGAGGTCTATGATAAAAAAGGAAATACCTTCCCATAAAAATAGACATAAAAATTCTCAGAAACTTCTTTGTGAGGTGTGTACTCAACTCACAGAGTTGAACTTTTCTTTTGATAGAGCAGTTTTGAAACACTCTTTTTGTAGAATCTGCAAGTGGATATTTGGATAGCTTTGAGGATTTCGTAGGAAACGGGAATGCCTTCACATAAAAACTAGACAGAAGCATTCTCAGAAACTTCTTTGTGATGTTTGCATTCAACTCACAGATTTGAAAATTCGCTTACATAGAGCAGTTTTGAAACACACTTTTTGTAGTATCTGGAAGTGGACATTTGGAGCGATTTGAGGCCTATGGTGAAGAAGGAAATATCTTCACATAAAAACTAGTCAGAAGAGTTATCAGAGACTTCTTTGTGATGTGTGTACTCAATTCACAGAGTTGAACTTTATTTTGATAGACCAATTTTGAAACAATCTTTTTGTAGTATCTGCAAGTGGATATTTGGATAGCTTTGAGGATTTCCGTGGAAACGGGAATATCCTCACATTAAAAACTAGACAGAAGCATTCTCAGAAACTTCTTTTTGATGTTTTCATTCAACTCACAGAGTTGAAAATTCCCTTTCATAGAGCAGTTTTGAAACACTCTTTTTGTAGGATCTGCAAGTGTTCATTTGGAGTGCTTTGAGGCCTTCGTTCAAAACGGGACTATCTTCACATAAAAACTAGACAGAAACATTATCAGAAAAACCTTTCTGATGTGTGCATTCAACTCACAGAGTTGAACCGTTCTTTTCTAGAGAAGTTTTGAAACACTCTCTTTGTAGAATCAGCAAGTGGACATTTTGTGTGCTTTGAGGCCTATGGTGAAAAAGGAAATATCTTAACATAAAAACTAGACAGAAGCATTCTCAGAAACTTCTTTGTTATGTGTGTACTCAACTCACAGAGGTGATTCTTTATTTTCATAGCACAGTTTTCAATCACTCTTTTTGAAGCATTTACAAGTGGATATTTGGACTACTTTGAGTCTTTCATTGGAAACGGGAATATCTTCTCATAATAACTAAACAAAAGCATTCTAAGAAAATTCTTTGTGATGTGTGCATTCAACTCACGGAGTTGAACCTTTCTTTTGATAGAGCAGATTTGAAAAACTCTTTTTGTAGAATTTGCAAGTGGATATTTGGACAGCTTTGAGGCCTTCGCTGGAAACGGGAATATCTTCACATAAAAACTAGACAGAAGCATACTCAGAAAGTTGTTTTTGATGATTGCATTCAACTCACGGAGTTGAACATTCCTTTCCATAGGGCAGTTTTGAAACACACTTTTTGTAGTATCTGCAAGTGGACGTTTGGAGCTCTTTGAGGTGTATCGTGAAAAAGGAAATATCTTCCCATAAAAATTACACACAAGAATTCACAGAAACTTCTTTGTGATGTGTGCACTCAACTCACAGAGTTTAACCATTTTTTTGATAGAGGAGATTTGAAACACTCTTTTTCTGGAATCTGCAGGTGGACATTTGGAGCGCTTTGTGGCCTTCGTTCGAAACGGGAATATCTTCACATAAAAACTAGACAGAAGCGTTCTCAGAAACTTCTTTTTGATGTTTGCATTCAACTCACAGAGTTGAACATTCCCTTTCATAGAGCAGTTTTGTAACACTCTTTTTGCAGTATCTGGAAGTGGACATTTGGAGCGCTTTGAGGCCTATGGTGAAAAAGGAAATATCTTCACATAAAAACTAGACAGAAGCATGCTAAGAAACTGCTTTGTGATGTGTGTACTCAACTCACAGTGTTAAACCTTTCCTTTGAAAGAGCACTTTTGAAACACTCTTCTTGTAGAATTCACAAGTGGATATTAGGACATCTTTGAGGCTTTCGTTGGAAACGGTAATAGCTTCACATAAAAACCAGACAGAAGCATTCTCAGAAACTTCTTTGTGATGTTTGCATTCAACTCTCAGAGTTGAACATTTATTTTCATAGAGCAGTTTTGAAACACTCTTTTTGCAGAATCTGCAAGTTGTCATTTGTAGCACTTTGAGGCCTTCGTTCGAAACGGGAATATCTCCACATAAAAACTAGACAGAATCATTATCAGAAACATCTTTGTGATGTGTGCATTCAACTCACAGAGTTGAACCTTTCTTTTGATACAGCAGTTTTGAAACACTCTGTTTGTAGAATCTGCAAGTGGACATTTGGTGCGCTTTGTGGTCTATTGTGAAACACGAAATAACATAAAAACTAGGACAGAAGCATTCTCAGAAACTTATTTGTGAAGTGTGCACTCAACTCACATATTTGAACCTTTCTTTTGTTAGAGCAGTTTTGAAACACTCTTTTTGTGGAATCTGCAAGTGCACATTTGGCACGCTTTGTGCCTTTTGTTGGAAACGGAAATATCTTCACACTAAAACTCGATAGAACATTTCTCAGAAACTTCTTTGTGATGTTTGTATTCAATTCAGAGAGTTGAACATTCCCTATCATAGAGCAGTTTTGAAACACTGTTTTTGTAATATCTGGAAGTGAACATTTGGAGCGCTTTGAGGCCCATGGTGAAAAAGGAAATATCTTCCCGTAAAAACTAGACAGAAGAATTCTCAGAAACTTCTCTGTGATGTGTGTACTCAACTCACAGAGTTGAACTTTTCTTTTGAGAGATAAGTTTTGAAACACTCTTTTTGTAGAATCTGCTAGTGGATATTTGGATAGCTTTGTGGATTTTGTTGGAAACGGGAATATCTTCACATAAAAAATAGTCAGAAGCATTCTCAGAAACTTCTTCAGGATGTTTGCATTCAACTCACAGAGTTGAACTTTCCCTTTCATAGAGCAGTTTTGAAACACTCTTTTTGTAGTACCTGGAAACGGACATTTGGAGCACTTTGAGGCCTATGCTGAAAAAGGAAATATATTCACATAAAAAGTACACAGAAGCATTCTCAGAAACTTCTCTGTGATTTGTGTACCCAACTCAAAGAGTTGAACCTTTCTGTTGATACTGCAGTTTTGAAACACTCTTTTAGTATAATCTGCAAGTGGATACTTCGATAGCTTTGAGGCTTTCGTTGGAAACGGGAATGTCTTCACATAAAAACTAGACAGAAACATTCTCAGAAACTTTTTTGTGATGCTTGTATTCAACTCACAGAGTTGAACATTCCTTTTCATAGAGCAGTTTTGAAACACTCTTTTTGAAGAATCTGTAAGTGGAAACTTGGAGCTCTTTGATGCATATGCTGAAAAAGGAAACATCTTCCAATAAAAACTAGACAGAACAATTCTCAGATACTTCCTTGTGATGTGTGTATTCAACTCACAGACTTGAACTTTTCTTTTGATAGAGCAGTTTTGAAACACTCCTTTGGAGAGTGTGCAAGTGGATATTTGGATGGCTTTGAGGATTTCGTTGGAAACGGGAATATCTTCACATAAAAACTAGAGAGAAGCATTCTCAGAAACTTATTTGTGATGCTTGCATTCATCTCACAGAGTTGAAAATTCCTATTCATAGAGGAGTTTTGAAACACTCTTTTTGAGGAATCTGCAAGTGGATATTTGGAGCGATTTGAGACCTATGGTGAAAAAAGAAATATCTTCACATAAAAAGTAGACAGAAGCATTCTCAGAAACTACTTTGTGATGTGTGTACTCAACTCACAGAGTGAGACCTTTCCTTAGATTCAGCAGTTTTGTAACACTTTTCTTGTAGAATTTACAAGTAGATACTAAGACAGCATTGAGGATTTCTTTGGAAATGGGAATATCTTCACAAAAAACTAGACAGAAGCATTCTCAGAAACTTTTTTGTGATGTGTGCATTCAACTCACAGAGTTGAAATTTTCTTTTGATAGAGCAGATTGGAAACAATCTTTTTGTAGATTTTGGAAGTGGATATTTGGACAGATTGGAGGCCTTTGCTGGAAACGGGTATATCTTCACATAAAAATTACAAAGAAGCATTGTCAGAAACTTCTTTGTGATGCATGAATTCAACTCACAGAAGTGAACATTTTTTTTCACAGACCAGTTTTGAAACACTTTTTTTGTAGAATATGTAAGTGGAACTTTGGAGGGCTTTGAGGTCTATGATAAAAAAGAAAATATCTTCCCATACAAAATAGACATAAGAATTCACAGAAACTTCTTTGTGAGGTGTGTACCCAACTCACACAGTTGAACTTTTCTTTTGAAAGAGCAGTTTTGAAACACTCTTTTTGTAGAAACTGCAAGTGGATATTTGGATAGCTTTGAGGATTTCGTAGGAAACGGGAATGCCTTCACATAAAAACTAGACAGAAGCATTCTCAGGAACTTCTTTGTGATGTTTGCATTCAACTCACAGATTTGAAAATTCGCTTACATAGAGCAGTTTTGAAACACATTTTTTGTAGTATCTGGAAGTGGACATTTGGAGCGATTTGAGGCCTATGGTGAAGAAGGAAATATCTTCACATAAAAACTAGACAAAAGCATTCTCAGAAACTTCTTTGTTATGTGTGTACTCAACTCACGGAGTTGAACCTTTCTTTTGATACAGCAGTTTGGAAACACTCTTTTTGTAGAATCTGCAAGTGGATATTTAGGTAGCTTTGAGGCTTTCGTTGGAAACGGGAATGTCTTCACATAAAAACTAGATAGAAGCATCCTCAGAAATTTTTTTGTGATGCTTATATTCAACTCACAGAGTTGAACATTCCTTTTCATAGAGCAGTTTTGAAACACTCTTTTTGAAGAATTTGTAAGTGGAAACTTGGAGCTCTTTGAGGCATATGCTGAAAAAGGAAATATCTTCCAATAAAAACTAGACAGAAGAATTCTCAGAAACTTCCTTGTGATGTGTGCATTCAACTCAAAAAGTTGAAACATTCTTTTGATAGAGCAGATTGGAAACTATCTTTTGTAGAATTTGCAAGTGGATATTTGGACAGCTTTGAGGCCTACTCTGGAAACAGGTATATCTTCACATAAGAACTAGACAGGAGCATTCTCAGAAACTTCCCTGTGATGTTTGCATTCAACTGACAGAGTTGAGCATTCCTTTTCATAGAGCAGTTTTGAAACTCTTTTTTTGTAGAATGTGTAAGTGGTAAATTGGAACGCTTTGAGGCCTACGGTGTAAAAGGAAATATCTTCCCATAAAAACTAGACAGAAGAACTCTCAGAAACTATTTTGCGATGTGTGTACCCAACTCTCAGAGTTTAAATTTTCTTTTTACAGAGCGGTTTTGAAACTCAGTTTTTATAGAATCTGCAAGTGGATATTTGGATAGCTTTAACGGTTTGTTGGAAACGGGAATATCTTCACTTAGAAACTAGACAGAAACATACTCAGAAACTTCTTCTTGATGCTGGCATTCATCTCACAGAGTTGAACATTCATTTTCATAGAGCAGGTTTGAAACACTCTTTTTGTAGTATCTGGAAGTGGACATTCGGATCCCTTTGAGGCCTATGGTGGAAAAGGAAATATATTCCCATAAAAACTAGACAGAAGCATTCTCAGAAACTAGTTTGTTATGTGTGTACTCAACTAACAAAGTTGAACCTTTCTTTTGATAGAGCAGTTTTGAAACACTCTTTTTGTAGAATCTGCAAGTGGATATTTGGATAGCTTTGTGGATTTCGTTGGAAACAGTAATATCTTCATATAAAATCTAGACAGAAGCATTCTCAGAAACATCTCTGTGATGTTTACATTCAAGTCACAGAGATGAACATTCCCTTTGATAGAGCACGTTTGAAACACTGATTTTGTAGTATCTGTAACTAGACATTTGGAGCGCTTTGAGGCCTTTGGTGAAAAAGGAAATATCTTCCCATAAAAACTAGACAGAAGCATTCTCAGAAAATTGTTTGTGATGTGTGTACTCAACTAACAGAGTTGAACCTTTCTTTTCTTAGAGCAGTTTTGAAACACTCTTTTTGTAGAATCTGCAAGGGGATATTTGGATAGCTTTGAGGATTTCGTTGGAAACGGGAATATCTTCACTTAAATTGTAGACAGAAGCATTCTCAGAAACATCTCTGTGAAGTTTGCATTCAAGTCACAGAATTGAACATTCTCTTTCATAGAGCAGGTTTGAAATACTGATTTTGTAGTATCTGGAACTGGACATTTGGAGCACTTTGTGGCCTATGGTGAAAAAGGAAGTATCTTCACATAAAAACTAGACAGAAGCATTCTCAGAAAGTAGTATGTGATGTGTGTACTCAACTCACAGAGTTGAACCTTTCTTTTGATAGAGCAGTTTTGAAACACTCTTTTTGAAGAATCTGCAAGTGGATATTTGGATAGCTTTGAGAATTTCGTTGGAAACGGGAATATCTTCATATAAAATCTAGACAGAAGCATTATCAGAAACTTCTTTGTGATGTTTGCATTCAAGTCACAGAGTTGAAAATTTCTTTTCATAGAACAGGTTTGAAACACTGATTTTGTAGTATCTGGAAGTGTATAATTGGATCACTTTGTGGCCTATGGTGAAAATGGAAATATCTTTCAATAAAAACTAGACAGAAGCATTCTCGGACAGTAGTTTGTGATGTGTGCACTCAACTAACAGGGTTGAACCTATCTTTTCATAGAGCAGTTTTGAAACACTCTTTTCGTAGAATCTGCAAGTGGATATTTGGTTAGCTTTGAGGATTTGGTTGGAAACGGGTATATCTTCCTATAAAATCTAGATCGAAGCATTCTCAGAAACATCTTTGGGATGTTTGCATTCAAGTCACAGAGTTGAACATTCCCTTTCATAGCGCGGGTTTGAAACACTCTTTTTGTAGTATCTGGAAGTGCACATGTTGAGCGTTTTGAGGCCTATGATGAGAAAGGAAATATCTTCCCTAAAAACTAGACAGAAGCATTCTCAGAAACTTGTTTAGGATGTGTGTACTCAACTAACAGAGGTGAAACTTTCTGTTGATAGAGTAGTTTTGAAACACTCTTTTTGTAGAATCAGCAAGTGGATATTTGACAACTTTGAGGATTTCGTTGGAAACGGGAATACCTTCATATAAAATCTAGACAGAAGGATTCTCAGAAACATTTTTGGATGTTTGCATTCAAGTCTCAGAGTTGAACATTTCTTTTCATAGAGCAAGTTTGAAACACTCTTTGTAGTATCTGGAAGTTCACATCTGGATCGCTTTGAAGTCTATGCTGAAAAAGGAAACATCTTTCCACAAAAACTAGACAGAAGCATTCTCATAAACTTGTTTGTTACTTGTGTACTCAACTAACAGTATTGAACCTTTCTTTTGATAGAGCAGTTATGAAACAGTCTTTTTGTAGAATCTGCAAGTGGATATTTGGATAGCTCTAACGATTTCGTTGGATACGGGAATACCTTCATATAAAATCTACACAGAAGCATTCTCAGAAACATCTGTGTGATGTTTGCATTCAAGTCACAGGGTCGAACATTCCCTTTCATAGAGCAGGTTTCAAACACTGATTTTGAAGTATCTGCCACTGGACATTTGGAGCACTTTGAGGCCTATGGCGAGAAAGGAAATATCTTCCCATAAAAACTAGATAGAAGCATTCTCAGAAACTTGCTTAGGATGAGTGTACTCAACTAACAGAGTTCAACCTTTCTTTTGATAGAGCAGTTTTGAAACACTGTTTTTGTAGAGTCTGCAAGTGGATATTTGGACAGCTTTGAGGATTTCGCTGGAAACGGGAATATCTCCATATAAAATCTAGACAGAGGCATTCTCAGAAACATCGTTGGAATGTTTGCATTCAAGTAACAGAGTTGAACATTCCCTTTCATCGAGCAGGTTTGAAACACTCTTTTTGTCGTATCTGGAACTGGACAATTGGATCGCTTTGAGGCCTATGGTGAAAAAGGAAATATCTTCCAATAAAAATTAGGCAGAAGAATTCTCAGAAACTACTTTGTGATGCGTGTCCTCAACTAACAGAGTACAACCTGTCTTTTGATACAGCAGTTTGGAAACACTCTTTTTGTAGAATCTGCAATTGGATATTTGTATAGCTTTGAGGATTTCGTTGGAAACGGGATTATCTTCCTATAAAATCTAGACAGAAGCATTCTCAGAAACATTTCTGTGATGTTTGCATTCAAGTCAAAGAGTTGAACATTCCCTTTCATAGAGCAGGATTGAAACACTGGTTTTGTAGTATCTGGAAGTGGACATTTGGAGTACTTTGTGGCCTATGGTGAAAAAGGAAATATCTTCCGATAAAGACTAGACAGAAGCATTCTCAGAAACTAGTTTGTGATGTATGTACTCAACTAACAGAGTTGAAGCTTTCTTTTCATAGAGCAGTTTTGAAACGCTCTTTTTGTAAAATCTGAAAGTGGATATTTGGATAGCTTTCAGGATTTCATTGGAAACGGGAATATCTTCATATAAAATCTAGACAGAAGCATTCTCAGAAACGTCTTTGGGATGTTTGCATTCAAGTCACAGAGTAGAACAATCCCTTTCATAGAACAGGTTTGAAACACTCTATGGGTACTATGGTGAAAAAATAAATATATTCCCTTAAAAACTAGACAGAAGCATTCTCATAATCTTGTTTGTGATGCGTGTACTCAACTAAGAGAGTAGAACCTTTCTTTTGATAGAGCAGTTTTGAAACACTCTTTTTGTAGTATCTGCAAGTGGATAATTGGATAGCTTTGAAGATTTCGTTGGAAACCGGAATATCTTCATATAAAATCTAGACAGAAGCATTGTCAGAAGCATCTCGGTGATGTTTGCTTTCAAATCAAAGAGTTGAACATTCGCTTTCATAGAGCAGGTTTGAAACACTGATTTTGTAGTATCTGGAACTGGACATCAGAGCGCCTTGTGGCCTATGGTGAAAAAGGAAATATCTTCCCATAAAAACTACACAGAAGCATTCTTAGAAACTTGTTTGTGATGTGTGCACTCAACTAACAGAGTTGAACCTTTCTTTTCATAGAGCAGTTTTGAAAAACTCTTTTTCTAGAATCTGTGAATATTTGGATAGGTTTGAGGATTTCGTTGGAAACGGGAATATCTTCATATACAATCTAGACGGAAGCATTCTCAGAAACATCTCTGTGATGTTTCCATTCAAGTCACAGAGTTGAACATTCCCTTTCATTGAGCAGGTTTGAAACACTGATTTTTTAGTATCTGGAACCGGACATTTGGAGTGCTTTGATGCCTATGGTGAGAAAGGAAGTATCTTCCCATAAAAACAAGGTAGAAGTATTCTCAGAAACTTGTTTAGGATGTGTGTACTCAATTAAGAGAGTTGAACCTTTCTTTTGATAGATCAGTTTTGAAACAACCTTTTTATAGAATCTGCTAGTTGATATTTAGATAACTTTGTGGATTTCATTGGAAACGGGATTATCTTCATATGAAATCTAAATAGAAGCATTCTGAGAAACTTTTTTGTCATGTTGGCATTGAAGTCACAGAGTTGAACATTCCCTTTCATAGGCCAGGTTTGAAACACTGATTTGTAGTATCTGGAACTGGACATTTTGAGCGATTTGTGGCCTATGGTGAAAAAGGAAATATCTTCCCATAAAAACTACACAGAAGCATTCTCAGAAACTAGTTTGAGATGTGTGTAATCAATTAACAGAGTTGAACCATTTTTTGATAGAGCAGTTTTGAAACACTCTTTTTGTAGAGTCTGCAAGTGTATATTTGGATAGCTTTGAGGATTTCGTTGGAAACGGGAATATCTTCCTCTAAAATCTGGACAGAAGCCGTCTCAGAAACATCTCTGTGATGTTTCCATTCAAGTCTCAGAGTTGAAAATTCCCTTTCACAGAGAAGGTTTGAAACACTGATTTTGTAGAATCTGGAACTGAACATTTGGAGCGCTTTGAGGCCTATGGTGAGAAATGAAATATCTTCCCATAAAAACTAGATGGAAGCTTTCTCAGAAACTTGTTTAGGATGTGTGTACTCAACTAGGAGAGTTGAACATTTCTTTTGATAGAGCAGTTTTGAAACACTCTTTTTGTAGAATCTGAAAGTGGATATTTGGATAGCTTTGAGGATTTCGATGGAAACAGGAATATCTTCGTATGAAATCTACACAGAAGCATTCTGAGAAAACTCTTTGTGATGTAGACATTCAAGCCATAGAGTTGAACATTCCCTTTCATAGAGCAGATTTGAAACACTCTTTTTGTAGAATCTGGAAGTGGATATTTAGAGCGCTTTCAGGCCTATGGTGAAAAAAGAAATATCTTCCCATAAACACTAGACAGAAGCATTCTCAGAATCATGTTTGTGATATGTGTACTCAACTAACGGAGTTGAACCTTTCTTTTGATAGAACGCCTTTGAAACACTGTTTTTGTAGAATCTGCAAGTGGATATTTGGATAGCTTTGAGGAATTTCTTTGGAAATGGTAATGTCTTCTTAGAAAATCTAGACAGAAACATTCTGAGAAACACCTTTGTGATGTTCGCATTCACGTCACAGAGTTGAACATTCTCTTTCATAGAGCAGGTTTGAAACACTCTTTTTGTAGTGTCTGGAAGTGGACGTTTGGAGCGCTTTGAGGCCTATGGTGAAAAAGGAAATATCTTCCCATAAAAACTAGACAGAAGCATTCTGAGAAACTTATTTGTGATGTGTGTCCTCAACTACCAGAGTTGACCCTTTCTTTTGATACAGCAGTTTGGAAACACTCCATTTGTAGAATCTCCAAGTGGATATTTGGATAGCTTTGAGGATTTTGTTGGAAACAGAAAAAACTTCATATAAAATCTAGACAGAAGCATTCTCAGAAAGTTCTTTGTGATGTTTGCATTCAAGTCACAGAGTTGAACATTCACTTTCATAGAGCAGGTTTAAAATACCCTTTTTGTAGTATCCGGAAGTGGACATTTGGAGCTCTTTGAGTCCTATGATGAAAAAGGAAATATCGTCCCATAAAAACTAGACAGAAGCATTCTAAGAAACTTGTTTATGATGTGTATATTCAACTAACAGAGTTGAACCTTTCTATTGATACAGTAGTTTTGAAACACTCTTTTTGTGGAATCTGCAAGTGGATATTTGTATAGTTTTGAGGATTTCGTTGGAAACGGGAATATCTTCATATAAAATCTAGACAGAAGCATTCTCAGAAACCCCTTTATGATGTTTGAATTCAAGTCACAGAGGTGAACAATCCCTTTCATAGAAAAGGTTTGAAGCACTCTTTTTGTAGTATCTGGAAGTGGACATTTGCAGCGCTTTGACGCCTATGGTGAAAAAGGAAATATCTTCCCATAAAAATAGATAGAAGCTCTCTCAGAAACTTATTTATACTGTGTTTCCTCAACTAACAGAGTTTAACTTTGTTTCGATATAGCAGTTTTGAAAAACTCTTCTCATGGAATTTGCAAGTGGATATTTGAATAGCTTTGAGGATTTCGTTGGAAGCCGGAATATCTTCATAAAAAATCTAGACAGAAGAATTCTGAGAAACTTCCTTGTGATGTTTTCATTCAAGTCATAGAGTTGAACATTCTCTTACATAGAGCAGGTTTGAAACACTTTTTTTGTAGTATCTGGAAGTGGACATTTTGAGCGCTTTGAGGCCTATGGTGAAAAAGGAAATATCTTCCAATGAAAACTAGATAGAAACATTCTCAGAGACTTGTTTACGATGTGTGTACTCAACCAACAGAGCTGAACCTTTCTATTGGTAGAGCAGTATTGAAACACTGTTTTTGTGGAATCTGCAAGTGGATATTTGGACAGCTTTGAGGATTTTGTTGGAAAAGGGTATATGTTACTATAGAAAGTAGACAGCAGCATTCTAAGAAACTACTTTGTGATGTTTGCATTCAAGTCAGAGAGTTAAACACTCCCTTTTACAGAGCAGGTTTGAAACACTCTTTTTGTAGTATCTGGAAGTGGACTTTTAGAGCGCTTTTTGGCCTATGGTGAAAAAGTAAATATCTTCCCATAAAAACTAGACAGAAGCATTCTTAGAAACTTGTATGTGATGTGTGTACCCAACTAACAGAGTTGAACGTTTCTTTTGATAGAGCAGTTTTGAAACACTCTTTTTGTGGAATCTGCAAGTGGATATTTGTATAGCCTTGAGGATTTCGTTGGAAACGGGAATATCTTCATATCAAAAGTAGACAGCAGCATTCTCAGAAACTTCTTTGAGATGTCAGCATTCAAGTCACAGAGTTGAACATTCCCTTCCATAGAGCAGGTTTGAAACACTCTTTTTGTAGTATGTGGAAGTTGACATTTAGAGTGCATTGAGGCCTACGGTGAAAAAGGAAATATCTTCCCATAAAAATTAGAAGGAAGCATTCTCAGAAACTTGTTTGTGATGTGTGTACTCAACTAACAGAGTTGAACCTTTCTATTGATAGATCAGTTTGGAAACAGTCTTTTTGTGGAATCTGCAAGTGGATATTTGGATAGTTTTAACGATTTCTTTGGAAACGGGAATATCTTCATATAAAATCTAGACAGAAGCATTCTCAGAAACTGCTTTGTGATGTCTGCATTCAAGTCAAAGAGTTGAACATTCCCTTTCATAGAGCAGGTTTGTAACACTCTTTCTGTAGTATCTGGAAGTGAACATTTGGAGCGCTTTGACGCCTATGGTGAAAAAGGAAATATCTTCCCATAAAAACTAGACAGAAGCATTCTCAGAAACTTGTTTAGAATGTGTGTACTCCACTAACAGAGTTGAAACTTTCTATTGATAGAGCTGTTTTGAAACACTCTTTTTGTGGAATCTACAAGTGGATAATTGGATAGCTTTGAGGATTTTGTTGGAAACGGGAATATCTTCATATAAAATCTAGACAGAAGCATTCTCGGAAACTTCTTTGTGATGTCTGCATTCAAGTCACAGGGTTGAACCTTCCCTTTCATAGAGCAGGTTTGAAGCACTCTTTTTGTAGTATATGGAAGTGGACATTTGGAGCGCTTTGAGGCCTATGGTGAAAAAGGAAATATCTTCCCATAAAAACTAGACAGAAGCATTCTGAGAAACTGATTTGTGTTGTGTGTCCTCTTGTTTGTGATGTGTGTACTCAACTAACAGAGTTGAACCTTTGTTTTGACAGAGCAGTTTTGAAACACTCTTTTTGTAGAATCTGCAAGTGGATATTTGGATAGCTTTAACGATTTCGTTGGAAACGGGAATATCTTCATATAAAATCTAGGCAGAAGCAATCTCAGAAGCTTCTTTGTGATATCTGCATTCAAGCCACAGAGTTGAACATTCCCTTTCATAGAGGAGGTTTGAAACACTCTTTTTGTAGTATCTGGAAGTGGATATTTGGAGCGCTTTTACGCCTGTCGTGAAAAAGGAAATATCTTCTCATAAAAACTAGACAGAAGCATTCTCAGAAACTTGTTTGTGATGTATGTAGTCAACCAACAGAGTTGAACCTTTCTATTGATAGAGCAGTTTTGAAACAATCTTTTTGTGGAATCTGCAAGTGGATATTTGGATAGCTTTGAGGATTTCGTTGGAAACGGGAATACATATAAAAAGTGGCAGCATTCTCAGAAACATCTTTGTGATGTTTGCATTCAAGTCACAGAGTTGAACATTCCCTTTCATAGAGCAGGTTTGATACACTGTTTCTGTAGTATCTGGAATTGGACATTTCAAGCCCTTTCAGGACTATGGTGAAAAAGGAAATATATTCCCATAAAAACTAGACAGGGGGAGGAGCCAAGAGGGCCGAATAGGAACAGCTCAGGTCTACAGCTCCCAGCGTGAGCGACGCAGAACACAGGTGATTTTTGCATTTCCATCTTAGTTACCAGGTTCATCTCACTAGGGAGTGCCAGACAGTGGGCGTGGGTCAGTGGGTATGCGCACCGTGCACGAGCAGAAGCAGGGCGAGGCATTGCCTCACTTGGGAAGAGCAAGGGGTCAGGGAGTTCCCTTTCCGAGTCAAAGAAAGGGTGACGGACCCACCTGGAAAATCGGGTCACTCCCACCCGAATACTGCGCTTTTCGGACTGGCTTAAAAAACTGCGCACCACGAGATTATATCCCACACCTGGCTCGGATGGTCCTACGCCCACGGAGTCTCGCTGATTGCTAGCACAGCAGTCTGAGATCAAACTGCAAAGGCGGCAGTGAGGCTGAGGGAGGGGCGCCCGCCATTGCCCAGGCTTGCTTAGGTAAACAAAGCAGCCAGGAAGCTCGAACTGGGTGGAGCCCAACACAGCTCAAGGAGGCCTGCCTGCCTCTGTAGGCTCCACCTCTGGGGGCAGGGCACAGACAAACAAAAAGACAGCAGTAACCTCTACAGACTTAAATGTCCCTGTCTGACAGCTTTGAAGAGAGCAGTGGTTCTCCCAGCATGCAGCTGGACATCTGAGAACGGGCAGACTGCCTCCTCAAGTGGGTCACTAACCCCTGACCCCCGAGCAGCCTAACTGGGAGGCACCCCCCCAGCAGGGGCACACTGACACCTCACATGGCAGGGTATTCCAACAGACCTGCAGCTGAGGGTCCTGTCTGTTAGAAGGAAAACTAACAAACACAAAGGACATCCACACCAAAAACCCATCTGTACATCACCATCATCAAAGACCAAAAGTAGATAAAACCACAAAGATGGGGAAAAAACAGAACAGAAAAACTGGAAACTCTAAAACACAGAGCACCTCTCCTCCTCCAAGGAACACAGTTCCTCACCAGCAACGGAACAAAGCTGGATGGAGAACATTGATGAGCTGAGAGAAGAAGGCTTCAGACGATCAAATTACTCTGAGCTACGGGAGGACATTCAAACCAAAGGCAAAGAAGTTGAAAATTTTGAAAAAATTTTTGAAGAATGTATAACTAGAATAACCAATACAGAGAAGTGCTTAACGGAGCTGATGGAGGTGAAAACCAAGGCTCGAGAACTACGTGAAGAATGCAGAAGCCTCAGGAGCCGATGCGATCAACTGGAAGAAAGCGTATCAGCAGTGGAAGATGAAATAAATGAAATGAAGTGAGAAGGGAAGTTTAGAGAAAAAAGAATAAAAAGAAATGAGCAAAGCCTCCAAGAAATATGGGACTATGTGAAAAGACCAAATCTACGTCTGATTGGTGTACCTGAAAGTGATGGGGAGAATGGAACCAAGTTGGAAAACACTCTACAGGATATTATCCAGGAGAACTTCCCCAATCTAGCAAGGCAGGCCAACGTTCAGATTCAGGAAATACAGAGAACGCCACAAAGATACTCCTAGAGAAGAGCAACTCCAAGACACATAACTGTCAGATTCACCAAAGTTGAAATGCAGGAAAAAGTGTTAAGGGCAGCCAGAGAGAAAGGTCGGGTTTCCATCGAAGGGAAGTCCATCAGACTAACAGCGGATCTCTCGGCAGAAACCCTACAAGCCAGAAGAGAGTGGGGGCCAATATTCAACATTCTTAAAGAAAAGAATTTTCAACCCAGAATTTCATATCCAGC
This sequence comes from Homo sapiens, assembly GCF_000001405.40. Lineage (NCBI taxonomy): Eukaryota > Metazoa > Chordata > Mammalia > Primates > Hominidae > Homo > Homo sapiens. The sequence continues at coordinate 65,063,747 of NC_000009.12, forward strand.
CAAACTAAGCTTCATAAGTGAAGGAGAAATAAAATACTTTACAGACAAGCAAATGCTGAGAGATTTTGTCACCACCAGGCCTGCCCTAAAAGAGCTCCTGAAGGAAGCGCTAAACATGGAAAGGAACAACCGGTACCAGCGGCTGCAAAATCATGCCAAAATATAAAGACCATCGAGACTAGGAAGAAACTGCATCAACTAACGAACAAAATAACCAGCTAACATCATAATGACACGATCAAATTCACACATAACTATATTAACTTTAAATGTAAATGGACTAAATGCTCCAATTAAAAGACACAGACTGGCAAATTGGATAAAGAGTCAAGACCCATCAGTGTGCTGTATTCAGGAAAACCATCTCACGTGCAGAGACACACATAGGCTCAAAATAAAGGGATGGAGGAAGATATATTAAGCAAATGGAAAACAAAAAAAAGGCAGGGGTTGCAATCCTAGTCTCTGATTGACTTTAAACCAACAAAGATCAAAAGAGACAAAGAAGGCCATTACATAATGGTAAAGGGATCAATTCTACAAGAAGAGCTAACTATCCTAAATATATATGCACCCAATACAGGAGCACCCAGATTCATAAAGCAAGTCCTGAGTGACCTACAAAGAGACTTAGACTCCCACACATTAATAATGGGAGACTTTAACACCCCACTGTCAACATTAGGCAGATCTACTAGACAGAAAGTCAACAAGGATACCCAGGAATTGAACTCAGCTCTGCACCAAGGGGACCTAATAGACATCTACAGAACTCTCCACCCCAAATCAACGGAATATACATTTTTTTCAGCACCACACCACACCTATTCCAAAATTGACCACATACTTGGAAGTGAAGCTCTCCTCAGCAAATGTAAAAGAACAGAGATTATAACAAACTATCTCTCAGACCACAGTGTAATCAAACTAGAACTCAGGATTAAGAATCTCACTCAAAACCACTCAACTACATGGAAACTGAACAACCTGCTCCTGAATGACTACTGGATACATAACGAAATGAAGGCAGGAATAAAGATGTTCTTTGAAGCCAACGAGAACAAAGACACAACATACCAGAATCTCTGGGATGCATTCAAAGCAGTGTGTAGAGGGAAATTTATAGCACTAAATTGCCCACAAGAGAAAGCAGGAAAGATCCAAAATTGACACCCTAACATCACAATTAAAAGAACTAGAAAAGTAAGAACAAACACATTCAAAAGCTAGCAGAAGGCAAGAAATAACCAAAATCAGAGCAGAACTGAAGGAAATAGAGACACAAAAAACCCTTCAAAAAATTAATGAATCCAGGATCTGGATTCATTTTTTTGAAAGGATCAACAAAATTGATAGACCACTAGCAAGACTAATAAAGAAAAAAAGAGAGAAGAATCAAATAGACACAATAAAAAATGAAAAAGGGGATCCCACCACCAATCCCACAGAAATACAAACTACCATCAGGGAATACTGCAAACACCTCTATGCAAATAAACTAGAAAATCTTGAAGAAATGGATAAATTCCTCAACACATACACTCTCCCAAGACTAAACCAGGAAGAAGTTGAATCTCTGAATACACCAATAACAGGTGCTGAAATTGTGGCAATAATCAATAGTTTACCAACCAAAAAGAGTCCAGGACCAGATGGATTCACAGCCGAATTCTACCAGAGGTACAAGGAGGAACTGGTACCATTCCTTCTGAAACTATTCCAATCAATAGAAAAAGAGGGAATCCTCCCTAACACATTTTATGAGGCCAGCATCATTCTGATACCAAAGCCTGGCAGAGACACAACCAAAAAAGAGAATTTTAGACCAATATCCTTGATGAACATTGATGAAAAAATCCTCAACAAAATTCTGGCAAAAAGAATCCAGCAGCACATCAAAAAGCTTATCCACCATGATCAAGTGGGCTTCATCCCTGGGATGCAAGGCTGGTTCAATATACGCAAATCAATAAATGTAGTCCAGCATATAAATAGAGCCAAAGACAAAAACCACATGATTATCTCAATAGATGCAGAAAAAGCCTTTGACAAAATTCAACAACCTTCATGCTAAAACTCTCAATAAATTAGGTATTGATGGGATGTATTTCAAAATAATAAGAGCTATCTATGACAAACCCACAGCCAATATCATACTGAATGGGCAAAAACTGGAAGCATTCCCTTTGAAAACTGGCACAAGACAGGGATGCCCTCTCTCACCACTCCTATTCAACATAGTGTTGGAAGTTCTGGCCTGGGCAATTAGGCAGGAGAAGGAAATAAAAGGTATTCAATTAGGAAAAGAGGAAGTCAAATTGTCCCTGTTTGCAGATGACATGATTGTATATCTGGAAAACCCCATTGTCTCAGCCCAAAATCTCCTTAAGCTGATAAGCAACTTCAGCAAAGTCTCAGGATACAAAATCAATGTACAAAAGTCACAAGCATTCTTATACACCAACAAAAGACAAACAGAGAGCCAAATCATGAGTGAAATCCCATTCACAATTGCTTCAAAGAGAATAAAATACCTAGGAATCCAACTTACAAGGGATGTGAAGGACCTCTTCAAGGAGAACTACAAACCACTGCTCAAGGAAATAAAAGAGGATACAAACAAATGGAAGAACATTCCATGCTCATGGGTAGGAAGAATCAATATCATGAAAATGGCCATACTGCCCAAGGTAATTTACAGATTCAATGCCATCCCCATCAAGCTACCAATGACTTTCTTCACAGAATTGGTAAAAACTACTTTAAAGTTCATATGGAACCAAAAAAGAGCCCGCATCACCAAGTCAATCCTAAGCCAAAAGAACAAAGCTGGAGGCATCACACTACCTGAATTCAAACTACACTACAAGGCTACAGTAACCAAAACAGCATGGTACTGGTACCAAAACAGAGATATAGATCAATGGAACAGAACAGAGGCCTCAGAAATAACACCGCATATCTACAACTATCTGATCTTTGACAAACCTGAGAAAAACAAGCAATGGGGAAAGGATTCCCCATTTAATAAATGGTGCTGGGAAAACTGGCTAGCCATATGTAGAAAGCTGAAACTGGATCCCTTCCTTACACCTTATGCAAAAATCAATTCAAGATGGATTAAAGACCTAAACGTTAGACCTAAAACCATAAAAACCCTAGAAGAAAACCCAGGCATTACCATTCAGGACATAGGCATGGGCAAGGACTTCATGTCCAAAACACCAAAAGCAATGGCAACCAAAGCCAAAATTGACAAATGGGATCTAATTAAACTAAAGAGCTTCTGCACAGCAAAAGAAACTACCATCAGAGTGAACAGGCAACCTACAAAATGGGAGAAAATTTTCGCAACCTACTCATCTGACAAAGGGCTAATATCCAGAATCTACAATGAACTCAAACAAATTTACAAGAAAAAAACAAACAAACCCATCAAAAATTGGGCGGAGGACATGAACAGACACTTCTCAAAAGAAGACATTTATGCAGCCAAAAAACACATGAAAAAATTCTCATCATCACTGGCCATCAGAGAAATACAAATCAAAACCACAATGAGATACCATCTCACACCAGTTAGAATGGCAATCATTAAAAAGTCAGGAAACAACAGGTGCTGGAGAGGATGAGGAGAAATAGGAACACTTTTACACTGTTGGTGGGACTGTAAACTAGTTCAACCATTGTGGAAGTCAGTGTGGCGATACCTCAGGGATCCAGAACTGGAAATACCATTTGACCCAGCCATCCCATTACTGGGCATATACCCAAAGGACTATGAATCATGCTGCTATAAAGACACATGCACACGTATGTTTATTGCGGCAGTATTCACAATAGCAAAGACTTGGAAACAACACAAATGTCCAACAATGATACACTGGATTAAGAAAATGTGGCACATATACACAATGGAATACTACACAGCCATAAAAATTGATGAGTTCATGTCCTTTGTAGGGACATGGACGAAATTGGAAATCATCATTCTCAGTAAACTATCGCAAGAACAAAAAACCAAACACCGCATATTCTCACTCATAGGTGGGAATTGAACAATGAGATCACATGGACACAGGAAGGGGAATATCACACTCTGGAGACTGTGGTGGGGTGGGGGGAGGGGGGAGGGATAGCATTGGGAGATATACCTAATGCAAAAAGCTGAGTTAGTTGGTGCAGCGCACCAGAATGGCACATGTATACATATGCAACTAACCTGCACAATGTGCACATGTACCCTAAAACTTCAAGTATAATAAAAAAAAAACTAGACAGAAGAATTCTCAGAACCTTATTTGTGATGTGTGTCCTCAACTAAGAGAGTAGAACCTTTCTTTTGATACAGCAGTTCAGAAACACACTTTTTGTAGAATCTACATGTGGATATTTGGATAGCTTTGAAGATTTCCTTGGAAATGGGAATATCTTCATATAAAATCTAGAGAGAAGAATTCTCAGAAACTTCTTTGTGAAGTTTCCATTCAACTCATGGAGTTGAACATTCCCTTTCATAGAGCAGGTTTGAAATACTCTTTTTGTACTATGTGGAAGTGGACATTTCGAGCACTTTGAGGCCTACGGTGAAAAAGGAAATACATTCCCATAAAAACTAGACAGAAGCATTCTCAGAAACTTGTTTGTGATGTGTGTACTCAACTAACAGAGTTGAACCTTTTTGACAGAGAAGGTTTGAAAAACTCTTTTTGTAGAATCAGCAAGTAGATATTTGGATAGCTTTAAGGATTTCATTGGAAACGGGAATATCTTCATATAAAATCTAGACAGAAGCATTCTCAGAAACTGCTTTGTTATGTCTGCATTCAAGTCACAGAGTTGAACATTCCCTTTCATAGAGCAGGTTTGAAACACTCTTTCTGTTGTATATGGAAGTGGATATTTCGAGCGCTTTCAGGCCTACGGTGAAAAAGGAAATATCTTGCAATGAAAACTAGACAGAAGCATTCTCAGAAACTTGTTTGTGATGTGTGGACTCAACTAACAGAGTTGAACCTTTCTTTTGATACAGTAGTTTGGAAACACTCTTTTTGTAGAATCTGCAAGTGGATATTTGGTAGCTTTAACGATTTCGTTGGAAACGGGAATATCTTCATATAAAATCTAGACAGAAACATTCTCAGAAACTTCTTTGTGATATCTGCATTCAAGTCACATAGATGAACATTCCATTTCATAGAGCAGCTTTGAAACACTCTTTTTGTAGTATCTGGAAGTGGACATTTGGAGTTCTTTGACACCTTTGGTGAAAAAGGAAATATCTCCCCATAAAAACAAGACAGAAGCATTCTCAGAAACTTGTTTGTGATATATGTAGTCAACTAACAGAGTTGAACCTTTCTATTGATAGAACAGTTTTGAAACACTCTTTTTGTGGAATATGCACGTGGATATTTGGACAGCTTTGAGGATTTCGTTGGAAACGGGAATACATATAAAAAGTAGACAGCAGAATTCTCAGAATCTTCTTTGTGGTGTTTGCATTCAAGTCACAGAGTTGAACATTCCCTTTCATAGAGAAGGTTTGAAACACTCTTTCTGTAGTATCTGGAAGTGGACATTTCGAGCGCTTTCAGGCCTATGGTGGAAAAGGAAATATCTTCCCATAAAATCTAGACAAAAGCATTCTGAGAAACTGCTTTGTTATGTCTGCATTCAAGTCACAGAGTTGAACATTCCCTTTCACAGAGCTGGTTTGAAACACTCTTTTTGTAGTATCGGGAACTGGACATTTGGAGCGCTTTGTCGCCTATGGTGAAAATGGAAATATCTTCCCATAAAAACTAGACAGAAGGATTCTCAGAAACATGTTTGTGATGTGTGTACTCAGCTAACACAGTGGAACCTTTCTTTTTACAGGGCAGCTTTGAAACACTATTTTTCTAGAATGTGCAAGTTGATATTTGGATACCTTTAATGATATCGTTGGAAACGGGAATATCTTCATATAAAATCTAGACAGAAGCATTCGCAGAACCTTCTTTGTGATGTGTGTCCTCAACTAACAGAGTTGAACGTTTCGTTTGAATGAGCAGTTCAGAAACACACTTTTTGTAGAATCTGGAAGTGGATATTTTGATAGCTTTGTGGATTTCGTTGGAAACCGGAATATCTTCATATAAAATCTAGACAGAAGCACTCTCGGAAACTACTTTGTGATATCTGCATTCAAGTCACAGAGTTGAACATTCCCTTTCTTAGAGCAGGTTTGAAACACTCTTTTTGTAGTATCTGGAAGTGGACATTTGGAGTGCTTTGATGCCTTTTGTGAAAAAGGAAATGTCTTCCCATAAAAACTAGACAGAACCATTCTAAGAAACTTCTTTGTGATGTATGTACTCAACTAACAGAGTTGAACGTTTCTATTTATAGATCAGTTTTGAAACACTCTTTTTCTGGAATCTGCAAGTGGATATTTGGATAGCATTGAGGATTTCGTTGGAAACGGGATTACACATAAAAAGTAAACAGCAGCATTCTCAGAAGCTACATTGTGATGTTTGCTTTTAAGTCACAGAGTTGAACATTCCCTTTCATAGAGCAGGATTGAAACACTCTTTCTGTAGTATCTGCAAGTGGACATTTCGAGTGCTTTCTGGCCTAAGGTGAAAAAGGAAATATCTTCCCATAAAAACTAGACAGAAACATTCGCAGAAACTTGTTTCTGATGTGTGTCCTCAACTAACAGAGTTGAACATTTCGTTTGACAGAGTAGTTTGGAAACACGCCTTTTGTAGAATCTGCAAGTGGATATTTGGAGAGCTTTGTGGATTTCGTTGGAAACGGGTGTATCTTCATATGAAATCTAGACAGAAACATTCTCAGAAACTGCTTTGTGATGTCTGCATTCAAGTCACAGAGTTGAACATTTTCTTTCATCGAGCAGGTTTGAAACACACTTTTTGTAGTATCTGGATGTGGACATTTGGAGCGCTTTGACGCCTACGGTGAAAAAGGAAATATCTTCGCATAAAAAGTAGACAGAATCATTCTCAGAAACTTGTTTGTGATGTGTGTCCTCAACTAACAGAATTGAACCATTCTTTTTACAGAGCAGTTTTGAAAGACCCTTTTTGTAGAATCTGCAAGTGGATATTTGGATAGCTTTAAGGATTTCATTGGAAACGGGAATATCTTCTCATAAAAACTAGACAGAAGCATTCTCAGAAACTTGTTTGTGATGTGTGTACTCAACTAACAGAGTTGAAACTTTCCTTTGAAAGAGCAGTTTTGAAACACACTTTTTGTAGAATCTGCAAGTGGATATTTGGATAGCTCTGAGGATTTCATTGGAAACGGGAATATCTTCGTATATAATCTCGAAAGAAGCATTCTCAGAAACTGCTTTGTGATGTGTGCTTTCAAGTCACAGAGTTTAACATTCCCTTTCATAGAGCAGTTATGAAACACTCTTTTTGTAGTATCTGGAAGTGGACATTTGGAGCGCTTTGATGCCAAGGGTGAAAAAGGAAATATCTTCCCATAAAAACTAGACAGAAGCATTCTCAGAAACTTGTCTGTGATGTGTGTACTCAACTAACAGAATTGAACCTTTCTTTTGACAGAGCAGTTTTGAAACACTCTTTTTGTAGAATCTGCAAGTGGATATTTGGATAGCTTACAGGATTTCGTTGGAAACGGAAATATCTTCATATAAAATCTAGACAGAAGCATTCTCAGAAACTTCTTTGTGATGTGTGTCCTAAACTAACAGAGTTCAACCTTTCTTTTGATACTGCAGTTTGGAAACACTCTTTCTGTAGAATCTGCATGTGGATATTTGGATAGCTTGGAGGATTTCGTTGGAAACGGGAATATCTTCATCTAACCTCTAGACAGAAGCACTCTCAGAAACTACTTTGTGATATCTACATTCAGGTCACAGAGTTGAACATTCCCTTTCTTAGAGCAGGTTTGAAAGACTCTTTTTGTAGTATCTGGAAGTGGACATTTGGAGCACTTTGACACCTTTGGTGAAAAAGGAAATGTCTTCCCATAAAAACTAGACAGAAGCATTCTCAGAAACTTCTTTGTGATGTGTGTCCTCAACTAACAGAGGTGAACATTTCTTTTGATACAGCAGTTTGGAAACACTCCTTTTATAGAATCTGCAAGTGGATATTTGGATAACTTTGAAGATTTTGTTGGAAACGGGAATATCTTCATATAAAATCTAGACAGAAGCATTCTCAGAAACTGATTTTTGATGTCTACATTCAAGTCACAGAGTTGAACTTTCCCTTTCATAGAGCAGGTTTGAAACTCTCTTTTTGTGCTATCTGGAAGTGGACATTTGGAGCGCTTTGACGCCTATGGTGAAAAAGGAAATATCTTCCCATAAAAACTAGACAGAAGCATTCTCAGAAACTTGTTTGTGATGTGTGTCCTCAACTAACAGAGTTGAACCATTCTTATTGCAGAGCAGTTTTGAAACACTCTTTTTGCAGAATCTGCACGTGGATATTTGGATAGATTTAAGGATTTCATTGGAAACGGGAATATATTCATATAAAATCTAGACAGAAGAAGTCTCAGAAACTTCTTTATGTTGTGTGTCCTCAACTAACAGAGTTCAACCTTTCTTTTGATACAGCAGTTTGGAAACACTCTTTTTGTAGAATCTGCAAGTGGATATTTCGATAGCTCAAACGATTTCGTTGGAAAGGGGATTATCTTCATCCAAAATCTAGACACAAGAACTCTCAGAAATTACTTTGTGATATCTGCATTCAAGTCACAGAGTTGAACATTCCGTTTCTTAGAGCAGGTTTGAAACACTATTTTTGTAGTATCTGGAACTGGACATTTGGAGCACTTTGATGCCTTTGGTGAAAAAGGAAATGTCTTTCCATAAAAACTAGATGGAAGCATTCTAAGAAACTTCTTTGAGATGTATGAACTCAACTAACAGAGTTGAACCTTTCTATTTATAGATCAGTTTGGAAACGCTCTTTTTGTGGAATCTGCAAGTGGATACTTGGATAGCTTTGAGGATTTCGTTGGAAACAGGATTACATATTAAAAGTAGACAAGAGCATTCTCAGAAGCTTCTTTGTGATGTTTGCTTTTAAGTCATAGAGTTGAACATTCCCTTTCAGAGAGCAGGTTTGAAACACTCTTTCCGTAGTATCTGGAAGTGGACATTTCGAGCACTTTCAGGCCTATGTTGAAAAAGGAAATATGTTCCCATAAAAAATAGACAGAAACATTCTGAGAAACTTATTTGTGATGTGTGTCCTCAACTAACAGAGTTGAACTGTTCTTTTCATACAGCAGTTTGGAAACACTCTTTTTGTAAGAATCAGCATGTGGATATTTGGATAACTTTGAAGATTTCGTTGGAAACAGGAATATCTTCATATAAAATCTAGACAGAAGCATTCTCAGAAACTGCTTTTTGATGTGTGCATTCAAGTCACAGAGTTGAACATTCCCTTTCATCGAGCATGTTTGAAACACTCTTTTTGTAGTATCTGGATGTGGACATTTGGAGCGCTTTGAAGCCTACGGTGAAAAAGGAAATATCTTCCTATAAAAACAAACAGAAGCATACTCAGAAACTTGTGATGTGTGTCCTCAACTAACAGAGTTGAACCATTCTTTATACAGAGCAGTTTTGAAACACTCTTTTTGTACAATCTGCAAGTGGATATTTGGATAGCTCTCACGATATCGTTGGAGACGGGAATAACTTCAAATAAAATCTAGGCAGAAGCACTCTCAGAAACAACTTTGCGATATCTGCATTCAAGTCACAGAGTTGAATATTCCCTTTCTTAGAGCAGGTTTGAAACCGTCTTTTTGTGGAATCTGCAGGAGGATATTTGGATAGCTTTGAGGATTTCTTTGGAAACGGGAATATCTTCATGTAAAATCTACGCAGCAGCATTCTCAGAAACTTCTTTGTGATGCGTGTCCTCAACTAACAGAGCTCAACCTTTCTATTGATAGAGCAATTTTGAAACACTCTTTTTGTGGAATCTGCAAGCAGATATTTGGATTGCTTTGAGGATTTCTTTGGAAGCGGACATTCATAAAAAAAGTAGACAGCAGCATTCTCAGAAATTTATGTCTGATGTTTGCATTCAACTCATAGAGTTGAACATTCCCTTTCATAAAGCAGGTTTGAAACACTCTTTTTGTAGTATGTGGAAGTGGACATTTTGAGCGCTTTGACGCCTATGGTGAAAAAGGAAATATCTTCCCATAAAAACTAGACAGAAGCATTCTCAGAAACTTGTTTGTGATGTGTGTACTCAACTAACAGAGTTGAACATTTCTTTTGACAGAGCAGTTTGGAAACACACTTTTTGTAGAATCTGCAAGTGGATATTTGGATAGCTTTGAGGATTTTGTTGGAAACGGGAATATCTTCGTATGTAATCTCAACAGAAGCATTCTCAGAAACTGCTTTGTAAGGACTGCCTTCAAGGCACAGAGTTGAACATTCCCTTTCATAGAGCAGGTTTGAAACACTCTTTTTGTAGTATCAGGAAGTGGACATTTGGAACGCTTTTAGGACCAGGATGAAAAAGGAAATACTTTCCCAAAAAACTAGACAGAAGCGTTCTCAGAAACTTGTGATGTGTGTCCTCAACTAACAGAGTTGAACCATTCTTTATACAGAGCAGTTTTGAAACACTCTTTTTGTAGAATCTGCAGTTGGATATTGGGATAGCTTTAAGGATTTCATTGTAAATGGGAATATCTTCATATAAAATCTGGACAGAAGCATTCTCAGAAACTTCTTTGTGATGTGTGCCCTCAACTAACAGAGTTAACCCTTTCTTTTGATACAGCAGTTTGGAAACACACTTTTTGTAGAACCTGCAAGTGGGTATTTAGATAGCTCTAACGATTTCATTGGAAACGGGAATATCTTCATATAAAATCTAGACAAAAACACTGTCAGAAACTACTTTGTGATATCTGCATTCAAGTCAGAGAGTTGAACATTCCCTTTCTTAGAGCAGGTTTGAAACACCCTTTTTGTAGTATCTGGAAGTGGACATTTGGAGAGTTTTAACGCCGTTGGTGAAAAAGGAAATTTCTTCCCGTAAAAACTAGACAGAAGCATTCTAAGAAACTTCTTTGTGATGTATGTACTCAACTAACAGAGTTGAACCTTTCTATTTATAGATAAGCTTTGAAACGCTCTTTTTGTGGAATCTGCAATTGGACATTTGGATAGCTTTGAGGATATCGTTGGAAACGGGATTACATATAAAAAGTAGACAGCAGCATTCTCCGAAGCTACTTTGTGATGTTTGCTTTTAAGTCACAGAGTTGAACATTCCCTTTCAGAGAGCAGGTTTGAAACACTCTTTCTTTAACATCTGGAAGTGGACATTTCGAGCGCTTTCAGGCCTATGATGAAAAAGGAAATATCTTCCCATAAAAACTAGACAGAAGCATTCGCAGAAACTTGTTTGTGAAGTGTGTCCTCAACTCACAGAGTTCAACATTTCGTTTGACAGAGCAGTTTGGAAACACGCTTTTTGTAGAATCTACAAGTGGATATTTGGATGCCTTTGTGGATTTCATTGGAAACGCGTATATCTTCATATAAAACCTATACAGAAACATTCTCAGAAACTGCTTTGTGATGTCTGCATTCAAGTCACAGAGTTGAACATTCCCTTTCATCGAGCAGGTTTGAAACAATCTTTTTGTAGTATCTGGAAGTGGACCTTTGGAGCGCTTTGATGACTTTGGTGAAAAAGGAAATATCTTCCCATAAAAACTAGACAGAAGCATTCTCAGAAACTTGTTTGTGATGGGTGTACTCAACTAACAGAGTTGAACCTTTCTTTTTACAGAGCAGTTTTGAATCACTTTTTTGGAGAATCTGCAAGTGGTTATTTGGAGGGCTTGAAGGATTTCGTTGGAAACGGCAATATCTTCACGTAAAATCTACACAGAAGCATTCTCAGAAAACTCTTTGTGATGTGTGTCCTCAAATAACACAGTTCAACCTTTCTGTTGATAGAGCAGTTTTGAAACACTCTTTTTGTGGAATCTGCAAGTGGATATTTGGGTTGCTTTGACGATTTCGTTGGAAGCGGGCATTCATATAAAAAGTAGACAGCAGCATTCTCAGAAATTTCTTTCTGATGTTTGCATTCAACACATAGAGTTGAACATTCCCTTTCATAGAGTAGGTTTGTAACACTCTTTTTGTAGTATGTGGAAGTGGACATTTCGAGCGCTTTGACACTTATGGTGAAAAAGGAAATATCTTCCCATAAAAAATAGACAGAAGCATTCTCAGAAACTTGTTTATGACATGTGTACTCAACTAACAGAGTTGAACCTTTCTTTTGACAGAGCAGTTTTGAAACACTGTTTTTGAAGAAACTGCAAGTGGATATTTGGATAGCTTAGAGGATTTCATTGGAAACGGGAGTATCTTAATATAAAATCTAGACCAAAGCATTCTCAGAAACTTCTTTGTGATCATTTCATTTGATTCGTAGAGTTAAACATTCCCTTTCATAGAGTCGGTTTGAAACACTCTTCTTGTACTATCGGGAAGTGGACATTTGGAGCGCTCTGACGCCTATGGTGAAAATGGAAATATCTTCCCATGAAAAATAGACAGAAGGATTCTCAGAAACATGTTTATAATTTGTGTACTCAGATAACAGAGTGCAACCTTCCTTTTTACAGAGAAGCTTTGATACACTATTTTTGTAGAATCTGCAAGTTGATATTTGGATTGCTTTAATGATATCGTTGGAAACGGAAATATCTTCATATAAAATCTACACAGAAGCTTTCTCAGAAACTTCTCTGTGATTTGTGTCCTCAACTAACAGAGTTCAACCTTTCTTTGGATACAGCCGTATGGAAACACTCTTTTTGTAGAATCTGAAAGTGGATATTTGGATAGCTCTAACGATATCGTTGGAAATGGGAATATCTTCATCTAAAATCTAGACAGAAGCACTCACGGAAAAAACTTTGTGATATCTGCATTCAGTTCACAGAGTTGAACATTCCCTTTCTTAGAGCAGGTTTGAAACACTCTTTTTATAGTATTTGGAAGTGAACATTTGGAGCGCTTTGACACCTTTGATGAAAAGGGAAATGTCTTCCCATAAAAACTAGACAAAAGCATTCTCACAAACTTCTTTGTGATGTTTGCTTTTAAGTCACAGAGTTGAACTTTCCCTTTCATAGAGCAGGTTTGTAACACTCTTACTGTAGTATCTGGAAGTGGATATTTCGAAAGCTTTCAGGCCTATGGTGAAAAAGGAAATATCTTCCCATAAAAACTAGATTGAAGCATTGTCAGAAACTTGTTTGTGATGTGTGTCCTCAACTAACAGAGTTCAACAATTCTTTTGATACAAAAGTTTTGAAACACTCTTTCTGCAGAATCTGCAAGTGGATATTTGGATGGCTTTAAGGATTTGGTTGCAAACGGGAATATTTTCATGTAAAATCTACACAGAAGCATTCTCAGAAACGTCTTTGTGATGTGTGTCCTCAACTAACAGAGTTCAACCTGTCTTATGATACAGCAGTTTGGAAACACTCTGTTTATAGAATTTGCAAGTTGATATATGGATAGCTCAAACTATTTCGTTTGAAAAGGGAATATCTTCATATAAAATCTAGACAGAAGCACTGTCAGAAACTACTTTGTGATATCTGCATTCATATCACAGAGGTGAATATTCCCTTCCTAAGAGCAGGTTTGAAACCGTCTTTCTGTGGAATCTGCAGGAGGATATTTGGATAGCTTTCAGGACTTCGTTGGAAACGGGATTACATATACAAAGTAGACAGCAGCATTCTCAGAAGCTTCTTTGTGATGTTTGCTTTTAAGTCACAGAGTTCAACATTCCCTTTCATAGAGCAGGTTTCAAACCCTCTTTCGGCAGTATCTGGAAGTGGACATTTCGAGCGCTTTCAGGCCTATGGTGAAAAAGGAAATATCTTCCCATAAAAACAAGACAGAAGCATTCGCAGAAACTTGTTTGCGATGTGTGTCCTCAACTGACAGAGTTGAACATTTCGTTTGACAGAGCAGTTTGAAAACACGCTTTTTGTAGAATCTGCAAGTGGATATTTGGATAGCTTTGTGGATTTCGTTGGAAACGGGAGTATCTTCATAGAAAACCTAGACAGAAACATTCTCAGAAACGGATTTGTGATATCAGCATTCACTTCACAGAGTTGAACATTCCCTTTCATAGAGCAGGTTTGAAACACTCTTTCTGTAGTATCTGGATGTGGACACTTGGAGGGCTTGGACGCTTATGGTGAAAAAGGAAATATCTTCCTATAAAAACTAGACAGAAGCATTCTCACAAACTGGTTTGTGACGTATGTCCTCAACTAACAGAGTTGAACATTTCTATTTACAGAGCAGTTTTGAGAGACTCTTTTGGAGAATCTGCAAGTGGATATTTGGAGAGCTTTAAGGATTTCATTGGAAACCGGAATATCTTCAGGTGAAATCTAGACAGAGGCATTCTCAGAAACTTCTTTGTGATGTGTGTCCTCAACTAACAGAGTACAACCTGTCTTTTGATACAGCAGTTTGGAAACACTCTTTTTATAGAATCTGTAAGTGGATATTTGGATAGCTCTAACGATTTCGTTGGAAACGGGAATACCTTCATATAAAATCTAGACAGTGGCACTCTCATAAACTGCTTTGTGATATCTGCATTCAAGTCACAGAGTTGAACATTTACTTTCGTAAAGCAGGTTTGAAACACCCTTTTTGTAGTATCTGGAAGTGGACATTTGAAGCGCTTTCACACCTTTGGTGAAAAAGGAAATGTCTTACATCAAAAATAGACAGAAGCATTCTAAGAAACTTCTTTGGGATATATGTACTCAACTAACAGAGTGGAACCTTTCTCTTAATAGATCAGTTTTGAAAAGCTCTTTTTGTGGAATCTGCAAATGGATATTAGGATAGATCTGAGGATTTCGTTGGAAATGGAATACATATAAAAAGTAGACAGCAGAATTCTCAGGAGATTCTTTGTGATGTTTGCTTTAAAGTCACAGAGTTGAATATTCTCTTCCACAGATCAGGTTTGAAACACTCTTTCTGTAGTATCTGGAAGTGGACATTTCGAGCGATTTCAGGCCTATGTTGAAAAAGGAAATATCTTAACATAAAAACTAGACAGAAGCATTCTCAGAAACGTCTTTGTGATGTGTGTCCTCAACTAACAGAGTTCAACCTTTCTTATGATACAGCAGTTTGGAAACACACTTTCTATAGAATTTGCAAGTTGATATATGGATAGCTCTAACTATTTCGTTGGAAATGGGAATATCTTCATATAAAATCTAGACAGAAGCACTCTCAGAAACTACTTTGTGATATCTGCATTCATATCACAGAGTTGAATATTCCCTTTCTAAGGGCAGGCTTGAAAGCGTCTTTTCGTGGAATCTGCAGGAGGATATTTGGATAGCTTTGAGGATTTCGTTGGAAACGGAATTACATATACAAAGTAGACAGCAGCATTCGCAGAAACATCTTTGTGATGTTTGCTTTTAAGTCACAGAGTTGAAGATTCCCTTTCATAGGGCAGGTTTCAAACCCTCTTTCTGCAGTATCTGGAAGTGGACATTTCGAGCGCTTTCAGGCCTATGGTGAACAAGGAAATATCTTCCCATCCAAACTGATACATGGATAGCCCTAACTCTTTCGTTGGAAACGGGAATATCTTCACATAAAACCTAGACAGAAGCACTCTCAGAAACTACTTTGTGATATCTGCATTGATATCAGAGAGTTGAATATTCCCTTTCTAAGGGCAGGCTTGAAAGCGTCTTTTCGTGGAATCTGCAGGAGCATATTTGGATAGCTTTGAGGGTTACGTTGGAAACGGGATTACATGTACAAAGCAGACAGCAGCATTCTCAGAAGCTTCTTTATGATGTTTGCGTTCAAGTCACAGAGTTGAACGTTCCCTTTCATAGAGCAGGTTTCAAACCCTCTTTCTGCAGTATCTGGAAGTGGACATTTTGAGCGCTTTCAGGCCTATGGTGAACAAGGAAATATCTTCCCATGCAAACTAGACAGAAGCATTCGCAGAAACTTGTTTGTGATGTGTGTCCTCAACTCACAGAGTTGAACATTTCGTTTGACAGAGCAGTTTGGAAACACGATTTTTGTAGAATCTGCAAGTGGATATTTGGATGGCTTTGTGGATTTCGTTGGAAACGGGAGTATCTTCATAGAAAACCTAGACAGTAACATTCTCAGAAACGGCTTTGTGATATCCGCATTCACGTCACAGAGTTGAACATTCCCTTTCATAGAGCAGGTTTGAAACAC